>NC_000011.10:35817575-35969090 GCF_000001405.40 Homo sapiens
GGAAGCTATACAAGGAAAGCTGAATCCATATGTAGACTTCATGGAGACTAGTACTGCTCCAAATGTGCACAAGCCATGTGATATGGTTTGCCTCTGTGTCCCCACCCAAATCTCATGTTGAAATGTAATCCCCAATGCTGGAGGTGGGACCTGGTGGGAAGATTGGATCATGGGGGAGTTTTCTCATGATTTAACAACATCCGCCCTTTGTTGTCATGATAGTGAGTTCTTGTGAGATCTGGTTGTTTAAAAATATGTGACACCTCCCCCCACCTTCCTTCTGCTCTGGCCATGTAAAGTGCTCACTCCCCCTTTGCCTTCCACCATGATTGTAAGTTTCCTGAAGCCTCCCTAGAAGCTGAGCAGATGCCAGCATCATGCTTGCTGTGCAGCCTGCAGAACTGTGAGCCAATTAAACCTCTTTATGAATTATGCAGTCTCAGGTGTTTCTTTATAGCAGTGAAAGAACGGACTAATACACCACGAAAAAAAAAAATGTACCACAGTCAAATAAACTGGGAAGCAAAACAGTGGGCCAAACAAAGTTAAATAGGTTTCTTCCCTGTAGAATTTCTGGGAGCTTTTAATATGTTCACGTGCATTGTAGAGCTTTCATGTAACAATTTTCTAGTTTTCTGGCAGTTCTGTGTAACAATTTTAGGAAACACTGATTTAGAGATGAATCTAACTCTTCCTGAGTTAACTGTTGAGAGAACAAAGGCCCAAAGAGATTCAAGGATTTGCTTAAGGTCACCTGGCTATTGGGAAAGCTGAGTTCTCCATATTTGACCACTGCATCCCAGAAGAGAATGTCTGTTTAGTGACTCAAGAGCCCACATTAGAACATTCTAGGAGACATCCCAAGGTTTCTCCCTTGATTCTAAAGGGAAGAGTTTGATAGGCTGCAATTCTCTGTCTCAGGACTTGCACAGACATTAACGTTCAGCATAGTGCAAGCTTCTTTGTCAGTGTGGTGCCGTCGGTAATATGGGGTGCAGCGCTGACAAGCTATGGTTCTCTCTCTCTTCCTCTCTCTCTCTCTCTTCTTTCCTCCCTCCCTCCTGGTTCTCTTTTCCAGGTTACATTCCAGGCTCACTATTGTCATACTCTTGAGTGATAGTAAAGAATAAAACAGCACTGACCTGCTTGATTAAGATCTCTACCGCATCGATATACTGATCACCAGGGTATTCAGGTGCCCAGTAAGCCTTGTGCATGGGAAGCCTCTTGACTCAAACGAATGGTGACTGGGAAACTGAGGTGGAAGGCCACTAAAGGTGGCAGTTTGTATCTGGCCTCTTAACAGTGTTCACCATGAAACATTCTCAAATGCCTTCCCTGATATGTTAGCCTGAGGCATCAGAGGAACCGTCAGGTGCCTTGTGGGGCTATCAGTGTGTGACAGGCAGCAACATGGGGGTGGGAGGTGTAGTAAGAGTAGGTGTGTGTGTGCAACACCAGAGGGAAATATAGGCATATCAGGAAGAATAATGACTTGGCACCCCTCCAAACTGCTATTGTTTAGATATTAGGTCAACATTTATTTAGAGAAGATGGAGGCAGGTGTGGGGTAGGGAGCTGGAGTCTGTGTCCCCACCTGCTTACCACACTCACAGAAATAAAAGCCCGGGCCCTCTTTTTAGAAGACCATTTAGGGACCATCTGTTGTTATTCCAGCCTAACCTTTTTGGGGTCTCACCCTATCCACTTCCAAATGGCTTTCAAATTATTTCTTCCAATCCCATACAATTACCTCCCTGAAAGGAGTTCTTGGAAGTGCAGTTTTGTCCATCTCATTAGTGAGGTTTTTGCAGCACTGCAACCCCCTCCCCCAACAAACTGGTCATATGTTGTGTGTGTGGTGATCAGGCTGGTGATTTAGTGAGGAGCCCACTCCTCATCTAGAAAGTATGCGTGACACCCAGATCACAACACTCCCCATGTGGTCACCGGCTGTCTCGTACAGAGTTCATGAACTTCCAAGTAAGAAGAGACACAAGAGTGGTATTTTCTTAGGAGATTATTAGACCCACCAGAAGGTAACAAGAGCATTTAGCAATGATAAAGAATAAATATCCCCACTTACTGGGGCAGCTCTCTTTCCTGTCTCTTCCTCATCCCTTTCCTCAGCTTCCTCCTACTCCTCTCCCAGAAATAAAGGAGCTTCATCTAGAAGAGCTCATGGACAACAAACATGCCTGGAAAAAGCTATTGCCTGATTGGCTCCCAGTTTTCATTGTGATGTTTCACACCTATCAAGTGACTTTGTTTTTAGAAATGCACAACCAAAGTATGGCCTTGAATTGGATCAACCCACCATCTCACTTCACAATACTCAGCCTAACATGACAAAACCACCAAGACAACCAGTTAATTTAACTGGAAAAAAAATCAGTTCAGCCAGTTGTTTGGCAGAGGTTAAGTAGAACTGTGTTGATTGAATTATGCATTTTAAAAGGAGGTTGCATAGGTACAGCTGAAGTGAAATCCTTTTGTGACCTTGAACTTGGATTTTTATATCAACATCAAAGATTTATTAATGAAGGCTCAAGATTTCCAATAAAAACTTTTCCAATTAAATGTTTCCAGTTGTCTTCCTTTCCCAGGTGAAGTGGCCAACTTCACTAAGCCCAGTGGCTGCCTTTTGCCCAAGCTCTCTATTCTTGAAATAGAGGTAAGTTGTCTTTGAGTGAATAATGGGAGGCATTCTAGATCAGAATGCCTGGGTCTGGCATTTACTAAGTCATTTTAAACCAGTAACTTATATGCCCTTTGCCTCCATTTCCTCATCTCCAAAATAGAACTTGCCACACTGGGTTGATAAGAGGATCAAATAAGATAATGGGTGAAAAGTGCTTAAAACCGTACCTGGCAAATAGTAAGTTATCAAGAAATGAAATAGTTATCAATATTAGCATCATTATCATAACTTGATTGGTGTAGTAATAAAACAGGTTATTGGATAGGAAATTTGGTGGTATCCAACCCCATTTTTAGAAATCTTCCTGAAAGAAATATGACATAGGTACAAAGCTTTTTGCATAAGAATGATCATGTAGCATTGCTTTTAAGGGCAAAAAATGTGGTAATGACGTCAGTATTCATTAATAGGGGACGGGCTAAGTGTCTGAGGATCTGTCCTTGTAGAAGAACACTCTCCAGAAAATCAAGGTTAGGTTTGTCTCTGCTGACTCAGCCCAGCAAACAGTGCTTCCGAAAATCACTGAGGCCTCCAAGTTCAGATTGGCAATCACAACTTTCCTTCCTGCAATCACAGAACATTCTCTGGGAAGCTAATCAGGATGACTTATCTTTAACTGGGAAGAGTGGATTTGTGTCACTCCAGCCAAACTCTGAAGAGGCACAAGCCCTAATGAGGAAGAGATCAAGGAACATTGTTGAACGATACCCTGGTTCTCAGTATAATCCCATCTCACGACTGT
Source organism: Homo sapiens (assembly GCF_000001405.40). Taxonomy (NCBI): domain Eukaryota; kingdom Metazoa; phylum Chordata; class Mammalia; order Primates; family Hominidae; genus Homo; species Homo sapiens. The sequence continues at coordinate 35,821,019 of NC_000011.10, forward strand.
GACCTTCAAGTCATAGGGCCAGTAGAGTAGGTCAAATGAGTTAAAACCCTAACTTTTGGACTTTGATAACCTTCCTTAGAGCTCTCTACTGTGAGAAGAAAAGGTCATCTGCTAGGCCATGTTCAAGCAAAGAAAAGTGGGATTTTTCCCATCTCTCATGATTCCCCAATCCCAATCCTTTAGGGTTTACCTATTCATGTTAACCAAAAACACTGAGTTGGAAGTGGAGCCAAGCCCCTTACCACTTTACCACTCCCTAACCTCATTCCTGTTATGTCTGATTTCTACCAAACAGGAGCATTAACCGAGATCCCTTTCCCCAAAACAAAAGCTTTGCCCATTTGAGGCTCTTGTTTTGTTTGGGCCCTTCTTGCTATCCTTCTCTTGTTCTGTGCTTCGTTTTCTCTGGGCCCCATTCATTCCAGTTTCACGAGAGAAGAGGAGAAAGTACAGACCACAAGAAGGAAAAGCATTGTAATTCTGGTTGCTTTTTTACCCACAGTCGACGACTCCTATTGTAGCAGCCGCATCACGTGTATCATTGAGCGCTCCATCGTGCCCTTGACCCTTCCTAGTCCCGGCTCCTTGTCTTGGAGCAACAAAATGAAAAAGCTGAAGGCCAGGCGTGGTGGCTCACGCCTCTAATTCCAACACTTTGGGAGGCTGAGGTGGGTGAATCACTTGAGGCCAGGGGTTGGAGACCAGCCTGGCCAACATGGTGAAACCCCGTCTGTACTAAAAATACAAAAATTAGCTGGGCATGGTGGTTTATGCCTGTAATCCCAGCTACTCGGTAGGTGGAGGCATGAGAATCGCGTGAACCCGGGAGGCGGAGGTTGCAGTGAGCTGAGATCGCGCCACTGCCCCCTCCAGCCTTGGGGACAGAGTGAGACTCTGTCTCAAAAAAAAAAAAAAAAAAAGCTGAGGCGAACGCCTCTGCGCCCCCTAGAGGTTGGAGAGTGCAACCAACAATGAGTGTGAACACATGGAAAAGCTCAGTGCCAGCCTCCAAGCTGTTAGCAATGAAGAGGGAGCTTGTGGGGCAGGCTGATCCAAGTCCCAACCGCCCTGAAGGGAGATTATAATCCCCAGTTCCTCCTCAAGAACTTCTCCATTGTAAGGCAAATCCCACTTTTCTTCTTGCTCCCATATTGGCACCTAGATATCAAGGGAGGCAAAACCAAATCCTTGGCGTCTCAGCTCTGCTTTTGTAAACCAATTTCCCCACTAATAAGAATCGGAGATTGTGTTTCCCCGTGCAGTGCCAGACCAGGCCAGCAGGGGTCTAACATTAGTTGCTTTTAACCTACAATGACTGGCTCTCCACCGTAGTGGCTGAGTGAGTGAACTTGAAGTGAAGAGCTAATAGCCATGACTGGAGAAAACAGGTATAAATAGTGCATCCATTTTTGTAGTAAGACTAAAAACAGTCCAACCCACAGGATATCGATTTTCCTTATCCACAATGAAGTGCTTGGTTTAATACACTTTTCCTGTTTACTCTGAAAATGCATTCATAAAGAGAGCTATCTTAATCCAGGATCTTGGACCATCCAGATTTCTGTCTGAAACAGTTCACTAATTGCTGTTTGGTCTCTAAAGAGGATGCCATGAGGACTAAAGATTATATAATAAAAAAGACAATGTCTCAAAAAGCAAATGTCTCCAACTTATAGATGTCATAGTTTTAAAAACAAACAAAAAAACACATGAGTTTAGTATTTCTGGATCATTCTTAAGGTTGGTATTTGAAACTGTAAGCTCAAATCTTTACATTGTCCTTGAATATATTTTCACTGTGGCTATTAATTACAACAATGATTAAATACCTAAAAAACTATTGTACTTTCCAGTTTTCAGTCTTTTTACATACATTATCTCATGTGGTCCTTTAATACAAGAAAAAAATTAGTCTCATTTTATGGCCAATGAAATTGAGGCTCAGAGAGGTAAAGAATGTTGCCTGAGATCACACCACTAGTAGTAGCAGAGCTGGCAATTTTCCATGCCAAATGCAGCAATTAAAGTCCATGGGCATTACAGGACATTTACATATACAAACATTTATATAATGCAACCTTATTATGAATGGTATTTTTTCAGCAACTAACCTGATTTTACTTATTAATATCTATTTATATCTTGTTGCTATGATAGAATAATCATACTATAATTTCTTTAAATTAACGGAATGCATGCTTTTGATGAAGTGCACATTCCTTCACATAGCCCTCCCTGTTCTATGTTTGGCTCTTTGATGAGATAGCAGGAAGTGGCAAGAATCCAATCTACCCAGATTCAAAAATTCTCCTTATCTTAAACAGGCCACTCTGTCAGAGAAAATGAAACTGTTTTAATCACATAACAACCTGAAGTGCTAGGTACTATTATTTTTCTAGATGAAAGAAGAGGCACAGAGAGGCCAGCTTGCCCAAGTGCAACAACTATAAAGTGCGGGGGCTGATTTCTACCCAGCTAGACTGACCCCTACCAGGGTCACAATCACTGTGGCACCAGGTGCAAAGACCCTCCAGATAGCACAGAAGAGGTAACAGGACAGACTCTATAATTTCCCCCAAAAGAGTCTAACGTGGTTGTGAGAACTAAATAAAAAGGGCTCTGTTGTTATACCTTAGAGAATAGGGAGAAGCGTTACAGGTTTTTTAAAAAGTCAAATGCAATATGGATTTAAAATGACTTTATAGACATTATAATTTTGATACCAATCACTCTGAGCTGCTTGGATTGTCTCAGAATCTCCATTTTCTGCCTTCCCTTTTATTTAGAGGTTTAATGACCTTAGATAACATTAAGGAAAGGCACCTTGAGCTTGCCTGTCTGTAGCCACCGGCACTACAGACCTGGCGTGGCAATCTGCCCAATCCCCACAGGGTGAGTTCCCACGAACTGATAACCTACTATGTGCCGGCATTTTGCAAACTGCCTCTAGAACAGGCACTTCAGGCTGCCTAACGAGTGGGTGTCTACTCCCTCTTCTTGCAGGATTGGGTGCAGGGGTTCCCGCTCCCAGGGGCCTCCAGAAACAGGCTCAGTCTCCCAGCTCCAGGGGCCGACCTGATTGGTGTAAGGGAAGTCCCGCCCTCTTGGTCATGAGTGGTTCAGAAATGAGCATGTGACTTGCGGGGGCTTCTGGGAAGTTTCCTCATGCCCACAAAAGCCTGCCAGAAGGTACCACCTTTCTCCTTTACCCAGATGGTGCCTACATTTGTTCCTGTGATTTGAGGAGGAAGCTAACCTGGGGCTTCGGAGCAGAAGGTAAGGCAGCTTGAGAGAGACTCACTATGACTTGTGCCCAAAGCTCTAAGACCCTGCGGTCCTCACAGCACCCCCACAAGGGAAGCCTTGTTAAGGCCCTTTTGCAGATGAAGAAACTGAGGCCGAGGGAGGTACAGAGTAAATAACCAAACTGAAGTTCAATCAAACCCAGGGATATCTGCCTCCAAAACCTGGGCTCCCTTTCAGCTCACTGATCTGTCCACTTGTCCAGAGTGGGGAAAGTTAGAGCAGGACCTCTTTGATCTGGTGGAACCAGTGGACTCCTCCACCCGAGGCATACCTTCTGCTTCCCTCCACCTCACCTTTCTTAAGGCAATTCTCTCTGCTCACAATGCCCTTCACTGTCCCCTCCAACCCCTGACATCCTTTCCGGCCTCCACAACCCACCTCTGAGTTGCATTCCACTTCTGTCCACAAAATGCACTCGATCTGCAGCCTATACCAGGCTTTCAGCTGAACTTCCGACCTCATCATGTTGTGCCCTAGGTTTGGCAATTCCCAAGTTCGTGTCATTCCTGGGGGTTTTAATTTATCCACATTTAACTACTGTTATTGACCATTAGGTCTTCTTGGGACCTATTTCTGGCTTGTACATCTGCATATCTTAAGGAATCAGGTCTGACACCAGGAGCTACTTTTTCCCTGCCAGGAGCTACATTCTGTATTCCTTTGTTCCCCCTATTCTCTGTAAGGCAAACTAGGCTCTTCCCAGTCCCAAGTATATTGGTTTTACAAACTAGATCTTTTCTCAGGCCATTTTTTCTGTCTGGAATGTTCACCCATTCTTCATGTCCACCCAGAATTATGTTCATTTTTGTGTGTATCTTATCTCCTTTAATGACCTGGGGACTTCATGAGGGAAAGACCTTAGTCAATCTCATCCTGATATCCTCACAGCACCTAACACAGTGCCTGGCCCATAGGAGACATTCCGTAGATGTTTGTGGAATGACGAATGAGTGAATGAATGAGTTTTCCCCTAATATGAGAAGACTGCAGCTAGTAGACTCTCAGGACCAAGGATGTAACTCTTTCGTGGAACTGGATCTCCCAACGAGGTAGTATTTTACAGTTGGTGGGATCTCACACTATTTTAAACTATTTAAATGACTATCAGTCTCTCATATATTTTAAATAAGACTTTAATTTTGGTTCATGTCCATAGGCAGTGTTGCAAAGCTGAGCATTTTATAATCAGTAACACTGATAAACGTGTGGCAGCTCCATTCACCCCCACTGCACACACACAGTCTCAGACAAGGCTCAGGCAGCCTCCCCCATCCTGTATCTTCTGGCCTAATTATAGCCACAGACTAGGTTGCAGGTGGAGGGTTCTGGTAGATAATTGAAATCCACAGACACCTGCTTTGCACTTGACAGCTTTGACCTTCTCTTCTGATCAGGTTAATAAGTCAGAAATATAAGACACTGAAATTAGGCCCCCTCTCCTTGCCTTAACCCCAGACAGCCAATAGTGCAAAGTCAAGTACTATACACTTATACTCTCAAAAGACACAGGAAGATGGAACAAAGCTCCCACCCACCCACCTCCACCCCTCTCAGCTCCTGAGTTATAATGATACTAATAATAATAATTCAAAATGATCCATATTTTAAGAAAATTCACCTGGGAAGACTGTTGCCTCATGGTTAAAAGCACAGGCACTGGAAGCAAGCAGACCTGAGGTCAAGTGCAGATTCTGCGACTTTCAACTGGGGGCACTTGAGGAGGTTCCTGAGCCTCTCAAAGCACTGATTTCCTCATCTGTAAAAACCTACCTCACAAGAGTTTGGACCAAAGTTGTAAAGATTACTCCATAAACAGTAAGTCTTAGTATCTACACAGACTCTGGCCCTCTTCCTACTGAAATATCATTTTGCAAACAGGACCGGTGTGGAGACCACCCTCTCTACTCTTGCCTGCCCCACCCTAAGGCAGAGAGAGAAACAACACAGAGAATTTATCCCGACCTTTGACTCTTTCTCTTTCCCCCTCCAGGGGCCCACTGCCTGTCGCATTGCACACACTCTCAGTGGCTCTCATGGTCCTCACTCAGGGCACTCTAGAGGATCTTCTTAGCACGTAGACTTTGGAGACAGATAGCAGGATTTTGAATTCCAGCTCCACCTAGGACGTCCATTTACCCCAGCTTGCCCTGAACTTCCTAGTTTTAGCACCAAAAGCCCTTGGTCCTGGGCAGAGCAGGACATTTGGGCCTTCTCGCTCCATGCCGTCATAGGCTGTAAATCCTGGCTAATTTGACCTCTTTAATACCTTGGTGATTTGAGCCAACTCTAAAATCATCCTTGGTCATTGGAATGGAAGAAGCGAGCGCTTGGGGCATCCTGTCCCAGAGACTCAGCCAACTTTCAGATTCTACCCTAACCCACTGTGTGCACTAAAGGGCCTGTCCCCAGGACCCCTAAGCCCCCACTCTTAGCCTGGCCTGCCCTTGAGAAGCTATCAGTTGCCTAGTCTCAGGGTCATCTTTTCCCTTTGGGTGGGAGGGAACCTTGTCATGACCACAACTAAGGCAAGCACTCAGCTGGCACCCTCACCTGTGTTTGAGTCGCCATTAAATCTTGACTCTCCCCAAGCCAGAATGAACCCAGGACAAAGGAAGCCAGTGGGGTTGAAGGAAATGGGAAATGTTCTCCCTGAGGGACCAAGTGTAGGCTGGAGATGAGGGGAAGGTGGACAGAAATGGGGCAGCTGCTTCTCTTTAATGAGAGCAGGGCCTGTTGTCTTCCCCAGGAGCACATCAACGGCACTGGTGAACCTGAAAATCAATCCTTGTTGCTGCTGAGCAGGGGGTTGAGCCAGGTCAGCTGGCAGCTCTGGCGTTATGACTCCACGCCCTACAGGGAGCCTTCCAACCACCCGTCCAGAGTGACATTGACATGAGAGGAGCAGCCACCATGTGCAGTACCCACTGGCTTCTCCCAGGGTGGCTTTCTGCTATTATTGCTGAGCACTTTACAGTTTGCTGGGTGTTTGGAATTTTGAAACAATCCTTCAAGGTAGACAGTATCAATGTTTCCACTTTCCAAATGAAAATATATATATATATATATAGGCCCAGGAAGTCAAAGGGATTTTTCTTCCTTTGACTAATGGAAGAAATGTCTCTCAGCTGGTGTAAAGGTAGTGATTGAGGCCGAGCGCAGTGGCTCATGCCTGAAATCCCAGCACTTTGGGAGGCTGAGGCGGGTGGATCACTTGAGGTCAGGAGTTCGAGACCAGCCTGGCCAACATGGCAAAACCCAGTCTCTACTAAAAATACAAAAATTAGCTGGGCATGGTGGCGCATGCCTGTAATCCCAGCTACTCAGGAGGCTGAGGCAGGAGAATCGCTTGAACCCCAGAGGCAGAGGCTGCAGTGAGCCAAGATCATACCACTGCACTCCAGCCTGGGCAACAGAGTGAGACTCTGTCTCAAATAATAATAATAATAATAATAATAATAAATAAATAAAGGTAGTGATTGAGAGTAATCTTCCATCTTGGAGTCCTGTCAGAAAAATGATTCTGAGCAAATACCTCCAATGTATATGCATAATTTATTTATAAATTATAGCCATAACTATTGTATTGACTATTGTATTAATATATTAAGTATATTATGAAACATGCAAATGAACATTAATAAGGAATGAGACCATACATATAAACAGAAGGTCCAATACTTGCTTCTTCTGCCCTAACAGACATCTTGGATGAAGTGGGCACTTTGGAGACACAAGCCCAAATGCCTACTGGAGCCAAGCAGGCAACATATGTAAGCGAACTGGGCTGAGCGTGAAAGAACCAACAGTCCAGGAAGGTTAAGAAGTGGCAACTGATTCTCAGCCTCAGAACTGGAGACAATAAAGAGTAGCAGGGACTGTAGCAGAAATGAGAACAAATACCCCACCTAAGGGGAGCTGCTGTTATTCAGTTTCAGCCAATTATTGCCATATAAGAAAGTAGGTCCAGGGTTTCTGACCTTCCAGTTTTTTTTCAGTAAAAGTCAGATATCTATATTTTTTTGGTGAAATTGTACAATTTTTATGGTGTTGGCCACTGATTTTACTTTTTTCAACAAAATTCCTGAGGTCCAAGTGGGTCAAAATCGGCTTGCAGTCTTCCAAAGGACAACCATTAGAGTAAAGGAAAGAGCTTTGCCTTTGTAGCTAGACGGTCTTGATTTTAAATCCTATTTCTACCTTTAACAAGTATTTTAACCTCTCTATGTTTCAGTTTTCAGGCCAATAAAATGGAAAGAATAGGCTTTTCGAGGGTTAGTGATGATGTACATGAAGCATTTAACACAGTTTCTGGCACATAGTAGAGGTTCAATAAATAATACCTATTGTTAGTGGGGCCCACCCACAACTCAGCCCTGCTGACTGCTGACCCAGTTCTCTTTCCATTATGAAGAGGCTTAAACAGACAATCCACATACCTGTCACTCAACTTCCAATCCTGCACTTTGCAGAATTCATTCTGCTACAGAAAGGCAGGTCTTTCCCACCCTGGTCTTATCGTTCCCAAGAAGAATCCAGAAGCCAAAGAAATGAGCAGGCTGTCACCCTAGGAGGCTGGTATGGCAGGTGGCATGGAACAAGCCATGGGAGTCAGACAATCTGAGCTCTAGTCCAGGCTTTGCCACTAATGAGCCGTGTGAGCTTGGACAAGTGACTGAACAACTCTGGGCCTCTGTTTGCTATTAAAAGTAAGCACAGTAATATCCACCTAAAAGAGTAATCATGAGAAAGTCAAATTATACATTGTGCCAGATTTCCTCCGTCTACCTCCCCACACCTGCCACTCTCCTGACTTGTATAGGAAAAAGCAACTGTTTTTCTCCATGCCCACACTGAACACAGAACACTTCTTTGACCAAATATGGGAGAGAGAGGGTTGTCCCACACCAAGTATTAATAATTCTCCACTTCTTGATGGACACCAGCTGGGTGTCCTATAATTTAACTCAATTATGACACTATCTACCTGGAGATAACATCTAAATCCTACAAGTTAAGGGCTTGGTCCCATGAGATTGCCCCATTTCAAACACCTATTGCAAGTTTAGGTTGTCACCCATGCTTCTGACTGACTATAAATCAGAGGTTCACATGACCTCCTCAGGTTCAACCATTTAGGCTAGAACAGCTCACAGAACTTAGGAAAATAGTTCACTTATTCGATTACTAACTTATTATAAAAGGATAAAACTCAGGAACAAATGGGAGACAGGCATAGAGCAATGTATGGGGAGTGGGAGGAGCTTCCATGCTATCTTCCAGGCGCCGCACTTCCAGAATCTCCATGTTTATGCCTTCCTGGGAGCTCTCCAAACTTCATCCTTTTGGGTTTTTATGGAGGCTTCATTACAGAGACATGATTGATTAAATCATTGGCCATTGGTGATCAAGTCAGTCTTCAGTCCTTCTGTCCTCCCAGAGGAGATTGGGGTGGGATTGGGGAAAGGCTTGAAATTCCAAAAGTCACCTCGTTTATGTAAACTCAGGTGTGGTTGAAAGGGGCTTATTATGAATAACACAAGACACTCCATTCACCTTTACTACTACTATCACTTAGGAGATTCCAAGAGTTTTAGGAGCTCTGTGCTTGAGAATAAGGACAAAGACCAAATATATATATTTCTTATTACAAGTCACAATATCACACCACTCTTCTCCCCCTAGCTTTGTGCCCTGGAGTTTGATCTTAATGGGCTGCATCAATGGGACCCTCCCCTCTGGTTTCCAGTAGGGTTCAGCACTGAGATGCATCAACAGGTGACCAGTGGATGGAAAGAAAGGGAGATGGCAGAATTTATTCCCCCAGCTTGTGGCAGTGGCCAGAGGCTATGCTCCTCTCAGTCTCCTATCAAGCAGACCATTCCTGCAGCTGCAGTTCCAGATCACCATTCAGCTGTAGTCACAGATCCAGATGCAGCTATCACTATCTTTTTCTTTGGGGATCCACTTCCTCCCCTTACCCTTTCAGCCCAGGGGTGGTAACAGCTCCCCAGTCTGTCTAGCCCCAGGACTTCACCACCCTTTATTGCTTTCCGTTAACCCCGCCACACCTTTGTAATCAGTCTCTTACTAAACTCTCCCCCGTCACCCTGATTGTGCCATCTGTTTACTGCAGGACCCTGACTATGACACATATAGCATATATTTTTTTTTTTAACCTTGGAACCTTAGACCTGGAAGCCACTCAAGCATTGTTGTTGGAATTTGAGATCATAAGCCTTTCTGCTTCATCCTCAGGCTGTCAGAGAATCCAGTTATCCGGAACCCTCATCTCCTGAGTGGCCCACTCCATTAAGGTCCAAACATGTTGATGGGACGCACATTCATTCACAAATGTTTGTCATGTACCTGTAAGATACCAGGTCCTGCACTAGATCCTGAAGATCCAACTGAGATCAAGCAAACAATGTTTGTGTCTTAGTGGAACTTATAGTCCTATGGGATGATGTAGAAATTGTTCCCAGAGAGACGATCTCTTTGCAGGCCATTTGGAGGCCAGCTGCCTGGCCAGAGTTCCCATGGCCATGAGGACCCAAGGATGCTCCCTCAAGACTATATGAATTTGTACTTATTGTTCGCAGCCAACCCTGTAGATTGGCTAACCCGACACCCATCCAGAGCTCCTAGCCACCAGTTCTGTGGCCATGAAACACACTTCTGGCTAAGGAGACAAGCATAAATCTTTAGGTTGGGGCTTCTAGCGAAGCCCTTGCTTCCCTTATAAATTAGGACAGACTCTGCTGGTGTCAACCTTCATTCTCTTTTTGCCCTTCCCCTTTATCCGCTTAGAACAAAGATGTGATGCTTGGAGGTGCAGTGACCGTGAGACAGCAAGCCAATACTCTAAGTGTGGCAAAGCAGGAAAAATAAATAGCTTGGGTCCTACAGAATCATTGAGCTGCAGTCCTGGACTGCTTAATTCTGAATTTGTATAAAATAAATAAACCCCTTTCTGTTTAAGCCACAGGTAGGTAAGTAGTCTGTTACATACATTCAAGAGAATTTGTATCTGGAGGGAACCTTCGGATTGTCTGTTCCAGCTTATTGCCATGTATATGACGAAACTAAGGCACAGAGAAGGAAGGAACTTGCTCCAAATCACACAGCCCAACTAGAGCTTCCATCTCCCAGCCAGCCCTAGTCCTCACTTACAAGCTCCTACAACTCATGCAAGGATTAAGCTCTGTGTGTTTCAGCTATTTGCCTAGTTAACAGGTCCTTTGGAACCACAGCTAATTTCACTCAGTCCTGAGTGGTCCCCTTAAAAAAAAAAAAAAAACACCTAGCTGATGCTCAAGCATAACCCTGTTGAGCCTCTAGTAGGTCTAGTCTGGCTAACCCTGTGCTGGGTGATTTTCAGAGCTGTGAAGAAGCACTTCGTGCCACCCAAAGGCATTTGTGAGAACAAATTGAGAAAAATAGAGGTTTTCTGCCTCTTCTCTGTCTCTTGGCATGGAATTTTTGTGGATTGTATTTAACCCTATCTCTAAAGCTACCTTTGGCAGTGCCACTCCAAAAGTACTCCTGATTGGAGGCAGAGATCTGGTTCTGTCCCTTACCCCAAGTAGTCCCCTCTCTCCTTCCCCACCTTCATCTACCACCACGCATATGCACACACATACATACACACACACACACGCACAACACATGCTGGTGATTTTGCTGTTAGTGAGTCACTGCTTTAGGAAGTAATTTCTCTCTTCCTGAGAATGCTGAAAGAGGAGGAAAAGCCATAGAAAAAGAGACTCTAGAATCCCCAAAAATAGGCTCATCAGCTTTATCAGAAGCCGCAATGGACTGAATGTTTATGTCTCTCTAAAATTATATGTTGAAATTCTAACCCCCAGTATCATGGTATTAGCAAGTGGGGCTTTGGGTATGTGATTAGCTCATGAGGGTGGAGCCCTCATGAATGGGATTAGTGCCCTTATAAAAAAGGCCCTGGAGGCTGGGCAAGATGGCTCACCTCTGTAATCCCAGCACTTTGGGAGGCTGAGACGGGCAGATCAGAGGTCAGGACTTCGAGACCAGCCTGACCAACATGGTGAAACCCCGTCTCTACTAAAAATACGAAAATTAGCCAGGCGTGGTGGCACATGCCTGTAATCCCAGCTACTCTGGAGGCTGAGGCAGGAGAATCGCTTGAACCTGGGAGGCGGAGGCTGCAGTGAGCCAAGGTCGCGCCACTGCACTCCAGCCTGGGTGAAAAAATCAAGACTCCACCTCAAAAAAACAAACAAACAAAAAAGGAGGCCCTGGAGAGCTCCCTTACCTCTTCTGGCAACTATCAATGGACCAGGAGGCAGGCTTTTGCCAGACATGGAATCTGCCAGCGCCTTAATCTAGGACTTTCCAGCCTCCAGAACTTTGAGAACTAAATTTCTGTTGTTCTTAAGCAACCTAGTCTAGGGTACTTTGTTATAGTAGCCCAAATGGACTAAGACAGGGACCTCCTGCATGCCAAGAGTACCACATGCTGCAACCTGTTTACTTTCCCCCAGGACATTCTGCATATTCATTGGGAAGCCTGCAGTCATTGCTGTAGGATAAATTCAGAATTCTCAGCAGCTAACAATGTCCACCTGTCAGCTTTTTCCCTAGGTCCATCTCCTGCACTGCAGTCTGATGAGGGCTGCTGAGGGGAAGCTGGAACCCACCATTCTGCACGCTCATCGTTTTGAGCAGGAGTTAGCTGATTCTGGAGCTGGAAATGCTCAGCTCGAGAGATGCTGATAAAGAGAACCTTCTTGCTCTTCTGGCTGTTCTAGAGCCCTGCTCTTGGGATGATGGGACCCAAGAGCCCAGTGGCATGGCTTTCTCCAGGGTACCAAACTATCAACACCATCATCACTACCACTACTACAATGATGATGGTACCTAATGTGTAAATTGATTACAACAATGGCCCCGATTCACCTTCCCTCCCTCATCCACACCATTCCAATGTGTCTTTGCAGTTCTTCTCTTCCAATACTTGACTGTTTCCCCATACTTTGAATCTGAATTAACTTGTGACTTGCTTTGGCCATTTGAACGCATCAGAGGTGACATGGGGCCAGTTCTAAGCTTAGGCCTCAAGAGGCCACACTCTCCATTGGGACCCTGCCACCAACATGTGAGTAAACCCAGGTTAGCCTGTTGTATGAGGAGCAACACGTGACCCATTTACCCCCTTGTTCCAGCTGACAGCCTACCAATCTCCAAACATGTGAGTGAGGCCATCCTAGACTAGCAAGCTCCCAGCCAACCTGCCCACTGACCGCTGACACAAAATCAGCCAAGCCTGGCCAGATCAGCAGAGCTTCCAAGCTGACATGTAGACTCATGAGCAATAACAATACATGATTCTTAAGCCAATGAGTTGGGGGGTGGGGGGCGTTGGCTGTTACATAGTCATTTTTTGACCATTTACTATAGGCCAAGCTCTGTGCCAAGAGGTTTTCACAGAGTGCTTCATTAAATTCATACAACCGCTCCACAAAGTAGAAATTATCATCTTCATTCTCTAGAGGAAGAAACTGAGATTTAAAAAAATTAAATAACTTGCCTCAGTCACACAGTAAGAAGTGGATCTAGATTTGAAGCCAAGCATTCTGACTCTACAACCATATTAGAATCTTTCTTCTGGTAGCCTTTTTTTTTTTTCTTTTTCCACAGAGCTGTTTGGCTCCAAAATTTTAGGTCTTTTTCTTTTTAGATTCCTGTCATAGTACCTGCTACAGGGGTCCCCAACCCCCAGGCCATGGACCAGTACCAGTCCGTGGCAGGAGGTGAGTGGCGAGCAAGCATTGCCTCCTGAGCTCACCTCCTGTTAGATCAGTGGTGGCATTAGATTCTTATAGGAGTGTGAACCCTATTGTGAATTGTGCATGTGAGGGATCTAGATTGTGTGCTCCTTATGAGAATCTAGATAATGCCTAATGATCTAAGGTGGAACAGTTTCATCCTGAAACCATCCCCCCACACCACCCCATCTGTGGAAAAATTGTCTTCCATGAAACCGGTCCCTGGTGCCAAAAAGGTTAGGGACTGCTGACCTACAGTCTGTTTGGGGTCAGGGCATGAGTGATTTTGGCCCATGCCTGAGTGCACATTCTGAATAAGGCTGACGGTCATATCAGCTCTAATTTCTGTCTTTCCTACATGTAATCCATCAGCAAATCCTGTCGGCTCTACCTTCAAAATCCATCTGAACTCTTGTCACTTCTCATCATCTGTGTCACTACCAGTCTAGTCCAACCCACCATCCCCTTTGACCCGGTTGATTGAAGCAGGCTTCTAACTGGACTCCCTGACTCTATTCTTCCCCACTACAATCTTCTTCTTAGATCAGTTATAGTGATCATTTGAAAATTAAAGTTAGATTATGGCAATCTACTGTGCAATTGTAGATTGCCATAATCTGACTTTAATTTTAATTTTAACCCTTTAATGATTTCCCAGAACACTTAGAATCTCAAATCACTACCACATCCTCTAAGGTTTCATGATCTGGGCCCTGGCCATTTCTACAACTTTATCTCCCTCCACCTTCCCCCTGCTCACTGCTGTCTGGTCATGCTGGTCTCATGGCTCCTCATATCCAAAGCATGCTCCTGCCTTGGCATTATTTCCTCTACCTAGAATGTTCCTCTGCCCTCAAATATCTACAAAGTCTTACTCTTACACTGTCAACCCAAATATTACCTCCATAGTACTCTATCTCCTTACCATGCTTTATTTGTATTTGGAACACCTACTACTACCTACCATTATGTCATATTTTCTTACTGTTTAGTTTCCTTTTTTTTTTTTTTTTTTTTTGGAGACAGAGTCTTGCTCTGTCACCCAGGCTGGAGTGCAGTGGCGCCATCTCTGCTCACTACAGCCTCTGCCTCCTGGGTTCAAGCGATTCTCATGCCTCAGCCTCCTGAGTAGCTGGGACCACAGGCTTCCACCACCATGCGTGGCTAATTTTGTATTTTTAGTAGGGGCAGGGTTTCACCATGTTGGCCAGGCTGGTCTCAACTCCTGAGCTCAGGCAGCCTCTCCCAAGTTGTCATCAACTGATCCCAAGTGCAAGAACCCAGAAACTTGCAAGGATTCCTGCACATGTATCCTCTGTCTTATCTTCAACTGACAGTTCCAAGCAAGGATGCATCTCAGGACTTTAACAATGAAATAAGTAATAAGCTAGTATGCAAATAGATCCAAAGAAATTCAGATCATTTGAGTACGGAAAAATGGCCCATTGCTATCCTGAGTTGACCCACCTTTTTGGCCCTAGTGGCAGTTTCTGGAATTGCAGGCAAGGAAGAGGCAGTGGAAGGTAAAGGGAAACATTTTGTTTATTCAACAATTATTTTGGCCAGGTGCAGTGGCTCATGCCTGTAATCCCAGCACTTTGGGAAGCCGAGGTGGACGGATCACCTCAGGTCAGGAGTTCGAGACCAGCCTGGCCATGGTAAAACCTTGTCTCTACTAAAAATACAAAAATTAGCCAGGCATGGTGGCAGGCACCCGTAATCCCAGCTACTCAGGAGGCTGAGGCAGGAGAATCAGTTGAACCCGGGAGGCAGAGGTTGCAGTGAGCCGAGATCATGCCACTGCACTCCAGCCTGGGCGACAAAGCAAGACTCCGTCCAAAAACAAAACAAAACAAAACCAAGCAGTTATTTCACTAGACTCAAGACATGGCTGCCTCCCCTTTGGGAAGTCAAACCCCAGTCTCTAGCAAAATAGGATCTAGCAGTACCACTGTCCAGGGGTATTTCTGATACCTGCTCTGTTCTGGTCTGTAGAACATTTGGCGGGGAGCGTCTATTTGAATCCTCACAACAGACATGCTAGAGAGATGTCTATCCCGTTATTAACAAGGAAACCAGAATGTGAAGTATTCCTAGAGCTAAAAAGGGAAAGAATTGGAACGTAGGTCAGGCTGATTCTAAACCCTGTGATCTTCCTCGTACTGACCAAAGGGGATAAACTTTGCAAATTCAACTCATTGCATACCACATCGAACTTCCAAAGTCTCTGAAATTTGAACTTTCCTGCCAGTTATAGTCTCATTAATTCAACAGCCTTCATTGATTGCCTCCTGCATGCCAGGAACTGTGCTTTGCCCGGTGGCTTCCAGAGAATGACAAGTGAACAATGATAATGACATAATTTATGTGGCAAAAATGCAACTCCTAAGGAGTGCCTCTCTCAAATTGAGTTACTTTTTCACTATTGAATAAATTGTAATTTGAAAGGCTAGTAAAAGTGCCCTCTTTTGGTGAGCCATGCCAATCAATACGTGCCATTTTCAATGCTTCATTCTGCTTTTCTCCTATTCAGGCAGACTGGAGAAAAAGCAAGCATTTGAAGGCTGAGGTTACTGAGTTAGGTTTCTTAATACAGTGAGGTTTTTTTTTTTTCTTTTTTTTGTTTTTGAGTGATTTGTTTCTGAAGAATAGACAGCCTAGGGCAGCAGGCTAAGTGGACTGCTTTCCTGGACCCCCAACCCCCCAAACCCCCACCCAACAGTGGGCTTGCCTGTCCACTGGTCATGGAGGCAGGGTGAGGGGGATAGGGAATAGCCTCTGCCAAAATCTTCTGGGAGATGCAGATACTCTGATGGCCCCAGGGGCCCATCCCTGACAGCTGTCGTCAATATTGATCAACCACAAAGCAGATTCTAGAACAGCAGATACTTGTTACAGAATGCACACATTCACATACAAAACCTGGGAACTTTGGCTCTAAAATCTTAGAAGGGGTTATTTCTGCCTTGCAGGATTATGTGTGGGTATTTTTTTCTTGTTGTATCTCTGCAATGCCTCATTTTTCTCTATAGATCTGTATCATCTATAATCAACAGGTGCCACTGGGCTGCTCCACCCCGCTTTCACTCTCCACACTCCCTCCACCCTTCCTAGCCCCTCGCATTCTCTTTTCAGAGTGTTTTTTTTTTAAATTCTCTCTCCCCACTTTACAGAGATGAGGAAAATCCTCTCTCTGCCCTCCCACCCTCCTACTTCCACCCTCTTCACAGCCTAAGAATGCAGAGGGTCCAGGAATCTAAAAGCAATTTCTCCTGTCCTCAGCAGTATGCCTGTCAATCAGCTTCCCCCAGCTGTTTCCCTTAGAAAGGAACTGCCCATGGGCCCAAGCGAGGAAGATGGCAGGAGTAAGGATGGCCACAAATCTGTCCAGCACAATTTCTTTTTCCTGAGCTCCAGGAAGGGCCAGGCTAAATCCAGTGACCTGGGCCACAGATCCATAGTGTGATCTTTGAGGCACAGAGATGTGTGGGGACTTGCCACTTCCCTCGTTTGTCAAGTGGAAAGAATAATGCCTTCTGCCTCACAGGTGTGTAAGGAGGGTCAGAGGAAATTATGACTACAAACGTGTTCCAAAGGTTGAGAGCCCTGCAAAATCGATCACCAAGCCCCAGAAAGCCTTTCTCCTTAATTTCTTTCCCATCTGTCTTCTCCTCTCCACTCCCCTAAATCTCCCTCTTCGTGGCCTTCACACCCCTCCCCTGCTCTTGGGGCCTCCCTGTCTTCCCTCTTTCCTTGTCTCAGTTCCGGCTCCATACTCAGGCCCAGTCGTCTCTGTAAAACCCACTACTCAGCAAGGCACATCCCTCTATAAAACCTCCAGTAACAATCCTTTACCAAGACAAAAAGCAGAACTCCCGGCTGGCTGGGGACGGGCAGAATTATAAGCATGGCCCCATGACACTCATCCATGTATATATAATATGCTTCCTTTTGAGTGTGGGTGGAACATATTAATAGGTTGAGCTGTCACGTCCCTAATTATGTTATACAGCAAAGGGGAGATTATCTAGGTGGGCCTAATTTAATCAAACAAGCCCTTTAAAAGTATAGAGTGTTCTTCAGCTGGTGGCAGAAGAGGAATTCAGAAATTAGAAGCATGAGAAACATTCAACAACAGCCAGCCAGGAAACAAGAATCTGCAAACCACAAGAAGCTGAATTGGGCCAGCAACCGGGATGAGCATGAAAGCCGATTTTCTCCCCCAGAGCCTCCAGATAAGAGCCCAGTCTGGAAACACCTTGATTTTGGCCTGTGAGACCCTAAAGAGACATCCAAATGCTCCTGCCTGGACTTCTGACTTACAGAACTATGACATAATACATGCGTGTCATTTTAAGTTTCTAAATTTCTGGCAATAGAAAATGAATACACCTGATATTTCAAAGCCTTAAGAATTCTTATTCAGCCTACTTCTCCAATCCCACTCTCAAACATAAGCTCTGGAGTGATTTTGGGGTTCACATCTGGCCTCTACCACTTGCTGGCAAGTTATGTGGCATCTGTGTTTTTCCATTACTTCATCTATATATTTAGGATAATTACAGAACCTTCCTCATGACATCGTTCAGAGGATTAAATGAGATAATGCAGGAAAGCCCTCAGTATAGTATCTAGCATAAAATAAATGCTGGATAAATTATTTTTTCTTTGTAGTATTATATTCTCTGCAGATGTTCCCGTTAAGTCAAATGGGTTTATTTATTAACTCAGGAAAATGCACTCTTGTGCTTGGCTCACTTCATGGCCACTGCCAGCCACGCCTTCTGCCTGCTACTGTGCCTCTCAAATGCCCATCTGTATTAGTCCATTTTCACATTGCTATAAAGATGCTACCTGAGACTGGGTAATTTATAAAGAAAGAGGTTTAGGTCAGGTGCAATGGCTCGCACTTGTAATCCCAGCACTTTGGGAGGCCGAGGCAGGCAGATCACCTGAGGTCAGGAGTTTGAGACCAGTCTGGCCATTATGGTGAAACCCCGTCTCTACTGAAAATAAAAAAATTAGCCAGGTGTGGCGGCACGTTCCTGTAATTCCAGCTACTCAGGAAGCTGAGGCAGGAGAATCACTTGAACCCAGGAGGCAGAGATTGCGGTGATCTGAGATCATGCCATTGCATTCCAGCCTGGGTGACAGAGTAAGACTCCGTCTCAAAAAAAAAAAAAAAAAAAGAGAAAGGTTTAATTGACTCACAGCTCCACATGCATGAGGAAGCCTAGGAAACTTAAAATCATGGTGGGAAGCGAAGGGGAAGCAAGGCATGTCTTACATGGTGGCAGAAGAAGTAGAGGAGGGGAATTGCCAAACACTTTTAAACCATCGGATCACTGTAATGAGAACAGCATGGGGGAAACCACCCCATGATTCAATCACCTCCCACCAGGTCCCTTCCTCAACACGCAGGGATTACAATTCAAGATGAGACATGGGTGGGGACACAGAGCCAAACCATATCAATATCCTTTCAGGCCTTGCTCACATTCCTCGCTACTTCATGAAAACTTCCCTGGCCTCTCCAGCTCATAGTGGTCTAGCCCTTATACTAACTTCTACAGTACCAGAGAATGATGTAAATACTGAGACTGTCTCATACCTAATCATGTAAAATTATGCTTTTTATTACAAAAGAAATGCCTGTAGAGATAATAGGGAAAATCCATAAAAGTTCAAGGCAGGAAATGAGTTGCTATTTCCACCATTGTTAATATTTTGGTGTATTTCCTTCCAGTCTTCTTGGTTTTGTTATTTGTGTAAATGTAAATATGTATGTAAACAGTTGCCTTTCTGAGCATAACTCTTTCTGCCCAAGGCATTCATCTGTCTGAGAAGAGATTAGGATTTGTTCACAGAAAGAATTCAAAGAGAAAGAACAACATGATATTCAGCTGTAGTCATGCAAAATAGGATTATACAGGAAACCAAAGCATTAAGAGTTGTTTTAGCTGAGGTTCCTATACTAGTTTCTTATTGCCACTGAAATGAATTACCATAAACATAGTGGCTTAAAACAACACAAATTTATCCTCTTATGGTTCTGGAGGTCAGAAGTCTAAAATGAGCCTTATGGGTCTCAAGGTATTTTTAAGATTTCCTTCAGGAGACCCCAGGAGAGACTATTCCTTTCCTCTTCCAACTTCTAGAAGCTGCCCACATTCCTTGGCTCATGGGTGCACCACTCCAATCTCTGCCTCCATCGTCACATCGTCTTCTAGCTTTGACCTTCTGTTTCCCTCTCACAGGGACTTGTGATTACATTACTTGTAATTACAACCACCTCCCCACCCCCATGTCAAGATCATCATGGTTCCTCACTGCTTAGTGTCACAGAACCAAACTAACTCTGCAAACAGGAAAATTAAGCAGCAATCCAGTGGAGGGGAGAGGAGTTCCTTAAGGGCTGCTGCTGCAAGCAGCCATGGTGTTTGGAGGGCTCCCAAGGACAGGAAGCTGCTAGGAAAGCCATTCTCTGAATTATTATAGACATAGCTACCATTTGTTGAGTATCTATGTGCCAGGACCTATATACTAGGCTGTCTTTTAAAATAGTTGATAGGAAAAACAACATTGAAATAGCCACAGAATCTGAGATAAAAATTGCCCACACTCCAGTCACCTAATTAAATCAATATTTTAATTTTTACACACATATACATAGATTTTTCATATTCATTATATCATAGATATAACTTAGAATGTTAATTTCCACATTTCCACTCTAATTTTTACCATAAATAATATTTCCATTTGGCAAAAATCACAGTTTATCGCTCTCTTTCCAGTGTTTCTCCCCTGCCACACTATAACCAGTATTAACAGCCTGAGAACATCTCTCTACATATTTATCTACATTCACTGAAAACAATAATAACAGTAAACAAAAGGTCTTAATGCTTGTTATAATACAGACCTGTTTTCACATATTACCTACTGTAGCTCACTTAATCCTCCAAACAACCTTATGAGAGAAGTACTATTGTTATCTGCCATTTACACATGAAGAAACTGGGGCCCAACATACACAGAATATTCAAAAATGTAAACAAATCTGTAGAAACAAAAAAGGAAGGTTTTTTGGTCATTTAAGAAATACAGAGAAAGCCAGGCATGGTGGTACACGCCTATAGTCTCTGCTACTTGGGACACTGAGGCAGGAGGCTCTCTTGAGCCCAGGAGTTCAAGGTTGCAGTGCACTATAATCACACCTGTGAATAGCCACCACACTCCAGCCTGGGCAACATAGTGAGATCCTGTTTCTAAAAATATAGAGAGAGAGAGAAAAAGAGGAACACAGCACATAGTTCACAGTGGTAGCTTTTGAAGTACAGTATATCTTGCCATCTCTCCAGGGCAACAGATCCAACTCTAGCTCATTTTTAAGGAGCAATAAAGAATGCCCCATTGTATGAATATACCATCATTTATTGCACCTATTGATAAGCATTTATGTTACTTCCTTTTTTTGCCACTACAAATGATGCTGCAATAAATATCACAGAATATAAATTCTCAGGTCCTAGAGCTTTTATTTTGATAAGGTAGTGTCTATAGACTTTAGTGCTGACTTCGGAAACTTCCATACGAAATGAGAAACACAGCCATAAGCTGAGCCAAAGCGTAAGACTTCCTTGAAATATGTGGGCTCCACCTAGATCAGAGAGAGAAGATATACCATTTATATGGCCAAAGGAGTGGTAGCCAAAGAAGACACACAGCTAAGGAGTCCTGAGCTGGCACAGAAGGAGGCCAGACAGGGCCCAGCCTCTGTACATAGCCCAGTCAATTCCACGATTCCCTTGGACATCTCTGGAGCAGACAGACCTACAGCAAACACGCTGCCCCAGTACCATAGCATCCACCTTCTAGTCTCCATGTGCTCATTCCAAAGGAAGAATGGAGAAACAATGTATAAAATCACTCTTATTACCTTTCTGCTTCCCCTAGGAACTCTTGTGCACAGGGTGTGTGTGGGGGTGGGGAGGGAGGCATTAGACTGTGCCTCAGAACCTAATTTTATTTTTTAATTTAATTTAATTTAAATTTTTTTTGAGACAGTCTGGCTCTGTTGCCCAGGATGGGGTGCAGTGGCGCAATCTCAGCTCACTGCAACCTCCGCCTCCTGGGTTCAAGCGATTCTCCTGCCTTAGCCTCCCGAGTAGCTGGGATTACAGGTGTGCACCACCACACCTGGCTAATTTTTGTATTTTTAGTAGAGACGGGGGTATCACCATGTTGACCAAGCTGGTCTCGAACTCCTGACCTCAGGTGATCTGCCCACCGCAGCCTCCCAAAGTGCTGGGATTACAGGCGTGAGCCACCACACCTGGCCAAAAGATAGTTGAATCACTGGTTAAGGATAACATTATGGTGGGAAAAAAAACGGAAGAAAATATAAGAGATAAATGAGAAGGAGAGAGGTGACAGGTAGAGATTAGAGAGAAAGAATAGATATTCTTGACCTGCCTAGTGGAAGAGAAAAACATCTAAATAAATATTTATAATAGCTTCGTATGTATAAAAACAGATGTAGATCATGTAGGGAAGCATCTTCAAGCAACAAAAACAAACAAAAAAACTGACCACCCTCCAGTCTAAGGGTTCATTTTTCTTGCATAACAAGAAGTCTAGAGGAGGCTACTGCTGGTTCAGCAGCTCAGCAATGTCAGGTCCGGGGTCTCCATGGGGTTGCTGTGTCAGAGGGAAGATGCATTAGTAATTTTGCTAGATATACCCAAATTCCCCTGCACATAGCATGGGATTGTGCCATTTTGCATTATCTGAAATACAGCTTATAAACTAAGGATCAATATTCCCAATGGATAAAGAGCTTCTAAAAATTGAGAATAAAATCAGCAACAACCCTACCGAAAAATGAACAGAATTTATAAACTGTTTGCAGGAGGGAAATGCAAATGATCATTAAATATATGGGAAGAAACTCAGCTTCCTCAGGATAGGAAAAAGGCAAGTTAATAGTACACAGAAATATCACTTCTCCCCTATCAGACTGGCAAAAATCCAAAGTCTGACTACCTACTCTTGATAAGGCTGTTGGAAAAGAGATTCTCTCATAAGTTGCTGGCAGAAATACAAAAGAAAAACCATTATGGAGGGAAATTGGGACAGTCTAGCAAAATTACAAACTCATCTAACCTTTGACACAGCAATACCACTTCTAGGAATCTATCTCAAAAATAAACTGGAAAGAATATGAAATGACATATATACAAGGATATCCACTGCCAATAATTATAATAGTAAAAGAACAGAAACAGTCCAAATGTCTATCAGTAGGGGACTGGTTGGATCCATTATGGAGCATCCATACAATGGAGTATTATACAGCTATAAAAATGAATAGGACGGATTTCTATATAAACTTATATTTCCAGATATATTGTTAACTAAGAAAGGCAAGGGACAGGAAAGTGTTTCTGGTATGCTCTCTTTTGTTGAAGAAAGGGGGGTAATTAATAAACATATATAT
This sequence comes from Homo sapiens, assembly GCF_000001405.40. NCBI lineage: Eukaryota > Metazoa > Chordata > Mammalia > Primates > Hominidae > Homo > Homo sapiens. The sequence continues at coordinate 35,843,630 of NC_000011.10, forward strand.
TTGTTTATATTACCAAAAGATAATAATAGAAGGATAAACCAAAAACAGTTAAGATGGAGACCTATAAGGAAAGGAAAGGAACAGGGTAGAGAGACAGAGATGGACCCTAGACTTAATTGTAATGTAGTTTGTTGTATATTTTAACTTTGGAACAGTATCAATGTTTCAAATAAAAACACAAACATAAATAAAGATGAAAAGGAGGGAGGGTGTCATAGCTCACGTCTGTAATCCCAGCACTTTGGGAGGTCGAGGTGGGAGGATCACTTGCGGCCAGGAGTTTGAGACCAGCCTGGGCAACATAGGGAGACCCCCATCTCCACAAAAATAAAAAAATAAAAAAAAGCTACGCATGGTAACACATGCCTGTAGTCCCAACTACTCATGAGGCTGAGGTGGGAGGATCACTTGAGCCCAGGAGGTCAAGCCTGCAGTAAGCCATGATTACACCATTGCACTCAGCGTGGGCAACAAAGCGAGACCCTGTCTCAAAAAATAAATAAATAAATAAAAGATAAAAAAGAAATTAATAAACTTGGAAAAATGGAAACAAGTGATAATGATTATGTATTAGGTTGGTGATTTAGCCACATAAAGAAGAATTACTGCAAATGACTCTAAAAACAATAGTATTTTGACAGTATATCCTTAATGCGATATATATCCTAAGGACTAAAAAGAACCATGAAGAAATATTAAACTGCATTCAATGCTCTATAAATCAAGATAGACTAGATCATGTTATTTTATAGTAACAAATAAAGCCAAATCAATGTGCCTTCAACAACAAAGGTTCTTTTCTCCCGTGCTACACCCATGTTTATTGTATGTTGGCTACAGCCCTGGTCCATGTTGTCTTCCCTCCGTGACTCAGGCTGGGAGAAGAGCACCTGTCTGGAATATTGTGATAGTCATTGAGACAGACAAAAAAGTACTCAGGCTCTTAGACTTTCTTCCTGTAAATGACCAATGTTACTCTTATTCCACTCTCATTTTATTGGCCAAAGAAAGACACACAGCCTGAGTCCAACAGGACAGAGATGTATAATCCCCTACAGAGATTGGCACCAAACATGAGTGAGCAATGATACAGTCTCATACAGAGAGGAAACTATTGGTATTGTCATTATGAAACTATCCTATACATATTGCAGGATCAGCAAATACGTGCTTTTATTAACGTAATTATGAACTAAGATTTTTTAGCACATATGACAAGAGACAAAAACTCAAACGAATTAAGACTCTGTAATCTAAGGTTTTAACTGGAAATATCGATATGAACTCATAATTTATCTTTCCCCAGAGAGAACTATTTGCCTTTTGCCAGGGTAACTTTGAAAAGGGGAAAGTCCATGAATCCACCCCTTGTTTATTTCTTTGGTTCTCAATTATAACTCTGGCTAGAATGTATAATTGGGATGAATACAATTAACAGATAACAGATCCCTCACATTGGCTCCCTGGCTTACAAGTTAAAAGTCATTTTGATAGGAGGGGCCATATGGAAACTACCCTTTATCCTGGCCAAGATAGTAACTCAGAAGCAATGCTTCATTTTAAGAGGAATTGCAGAGATTACTGCTACTTTTGAGGACTTAAAGGATGCAAGGATAGTGGTTTCCATCACACTTCTATTCAATTCACTTTTTTAGCCTTTGCAAAAACCAGACACATCAGGGAGGATGGTGGTAGATTACTGTCAACTTCACCAGGAGGTAGCCCCAGTTACAGCACAGCTCCTTTGCCACTGGTGGTACCTCTGACACTTGATATATGGCTGTTGATATGGTGAATTATTGCTTTTCCTTATTCCCTAATAACAGGGAGGTCAAAAAGCAGCTCTCCTTTATATAGCAAGGAAAGCAATAGACCTTCTCCATTGTCCTCCTGTTGAGAGAAGCATTGGTGCAAAAGAGGTAGGTGCCACGGGAGTCTGGGCCACCTGTTCATGTCATTTGCTTGTGCCTTCTGTATTTGATCAGGCAACATCCTGACTGTATCTTTTTTTTTTTTTTTTTTTTTTTTTTTTGGAGACAGAGTCTCACTCTTGTCACCAGGCTGGAGTGCAGTGGAGCAATCTTGGCTTACTGCAACCTCCACCTCCCAGGTTCAAGCAATTCTCCTGCCTAAGCCTCCCGAATAGCTGGGACTACAGGTGCATGCCATCACGTCCAGCTAATTTTTGTATTTTTTTTCTTAGTAGAGATGGGGTTTCACCATGTTGGCCAGGATGGTCTCCATCTCCTGACCTTGTGATCCACCTGCCTTGGCCTCCCAAAATGCTGGGATTACAGGCATGAGCCACTGCGCCCAGCCTTGACTGTATCATTTTTATTGTACAGTGGATTACTGCTCTATCCACCCAACCTTATGACTCATTGGATTCATAATACTCATATCACAATGAACATCTGTGGTGCCATGTAGTCATTTGGTGTCCCGTGGTCAGGCATTTAGTCTCTGGCAGGGCTTGAGAGCACACCAGACTCAATGCATGGCCTTGCTGAAGAACCCTAGAGGTCTCTGCTACATCTTTCCTCTTGAAGTTTATTAAAACTCCTGCAGCATTATCATCTGCATGTATACCTCTAGTACTATTGGATCTGCTGGGTCATACCTCCTAAGTGGGAGGGAAACTTGTACTGCTGCTTGGACATTCTGGAGAGTCCTTTTTACCCTCTGAGCCCCACTGTCCCACTTGAAACTGATATCCCTCTGAGCCACTCAATAGGACTTGGTTATATTCATGATCTAGCATTAATACAAAGTTGACCCTAGCCAGAAATGGACTGTGCCATATTACAGCCCCACACAGAAGCGGCCCTAGAAATAGTGGTGGAGGGAAATCCACCCTGTGGGCAGAGCTGCCAGCAGTACACTGCTTACTGTGTGGAAGTGTGGACTCCTTGGAGTAGGGAATGGCTCTGCTTGTTGGTCAGGGGTCTGGAAGGAAAAAGACGATAGTCTATGTACCACCTCCAGTGTCCCAACCCTGCAAGGTGTCCCTGAGCTGGCCTTTTAGCTGAGACTTCCCGAAGTCATTCTGCCATTTTTTTCTCTCGCAAGTTGCCTCTGGGTGATGAGGTACATGGAAGACGACTTTAACGACTTTATCTTGTGGCTTTGAGCCCAATGTGTCATACCTGTTTTTTCCTACAGCGCTTCTGCCAGCGCAACCGTCTGAGGGTGGACAGAATGCCCCAACTGTTGACATGATAACCCACGTTACATTGTCACAGACCAAAAAGCACATTTTACTACCAGCCAGGAGTGACACAATGGGATCAAAACCACAGGATATAATAGTCTGCTGTGTACCTCATCACCGAGACAGCCGGCTTTATAGAAAAAGGTGTGATGGGCTGATACAGTCTCAGCCGAAGGGCCAGCTTGGGACAAATGCAGGATCACCACACTGGATGTGACACCCACGCTGAACCGGAACCAATATATGCTGCTGATATGCATGGTTTCAGAAACCAAGTGCTGAAAGTACAATTGTCCTCCTAACACTCCCAGTGAAGACATGCAGAATTTTAGCTTCTTATTCCCACCACCCTAGATTCTGTTGGATTAGAGGTCTTCATACTTAGGTGGGAACACTTTTACCTGGGTACCTAGTAAGGATTCCACTAAATTGGAAGTTACAGAACAAAATGAGCAGTGTAGGAGTGAGATGATAAACACAGATTTTGGCTGTTTGACCAGCAGCAGCAGTGGGGACTGTGGCTTTGTTTGCTAAACATTTTTAGATCTCTTGAGGAGATTGCAACTGGCCATCATTTGGAAGAACTAGACTTGTACCTCCCCTCTAAAGAAAGAAGCATGGGTGATTTTTCCCACATGAGATCTGAATACTGCAAAAGGATCTGAGCATGTCTAAAAGCCTAAGAGGCAGTAGGGGTGGATGTACCCATTCATGTACTCCTCCTCCAGGTCCACTTGGTCACCCTGTACCAATGGGCCTTGGCCATGTGCCTTGCTTCCTGGTCAGTGCAGCCCTGTCACTCACACTGTTGTCTTGGTTATAAAGCTGTGCCCAGAGCCACTGCCACCAGCACACACTGAGGAGTACGCACATACAACAGTGAGTGCCAAGAGAGCCACCTTGACAATACGCTGGCTGCACAGGCCATGTGGAGATCCTGGCTTCCCCTGTAGCCATGATAGCAGCAAAGAAATACAACTCAGGGATGCAGAGGAGATAACAGCATGTGGGATGCCACATGGCAGACTGTGCTGAGATGCAGTCTTTCCATGCCTCCTGTGTCAAGAGGCTGTGAGCATCTGAGCAATTGGGTGCTTATTGGGAAGCTGTGACCACCTGGGAACATCTCCCTTTGTACTTCATCCTTTCCTCTGCCTCACTTCCCATTTCTTTTAAACCTCCCTGCTTCCCTGGGATTTCACTCTTGCCAGTAAACTGTTAGCACTTACACTTTTGCCTCAGCCTGTTTTCTAGTGAGCCGGGACCAAGACACAGGTCTGATGACTGCTCTGGAGAAAGAACTGCACAAAATGAGCTTGGGCCATCTTATTGTGCCTGATAGCAAGGAAATGATGAAATATTAATGGTGTCAAGTCAAAAGGACACAAGAGCCAACCTGAAGGGGCTCCCACTGGCCAAAGATGGCACAATTTGGCATCAAAAGACATACTGACTGCAATGGATTTAAACACCTTAAATATATGTTTAAATTATGAGTTCTTAATAATACTAAGAAAAAATCATTGGCAGCTAGTTCACTGACTTAGTATTCTGAAAGATGATAAAGAAAAAGACAGGTATATGTATTATGTCTTTTCTGTAATAATTATTTCAGGGTTACAAATAGTTGGTAAGGGAAAATTCTTCTCTGTAGAAAAATTCTACCTAATAAATGCAGAAGGAATGATAGATTTGGAAAATCAGCATTTTGCAAACCTGAATGAGATAATGGACCAGGCAATGATCAATAAAAACTAACACCATTAGATAAAAGCTTAATGGAGAACTTGATAATGGCAAGAGGAAGCTAACATCTCTGAACCCACAGATCATTCTCAACATTACAGAAAGTGGGAGAAGCAGATAGTCTGTTTCTGCAAAGTGATGCAAGAGAAGACACCACCCGTGAATCTAATCAAGCCAAAATCTAACCATCAGTTTGCAGGAAATTCGGGAGACAGAGGATCAAGTTCAGCAACAACTCAGTGATGCCAACAGCCAAATCCAGAATGTGAGAAGTTCTTTAAGGGGACAAATGACTCCGTTTTGTCAACACATGAATGTGATGCATGAACTTTGTTTAGCTCCTGATTATAACAGACCAACTGTTAAAAGATATTTTTGAAGCAATGGGGACATTTGAGAATAGACTACTATGAGACGTTTTTAGGGAATTTCTGTTAATTTTATTGGGTATTGGCATTATTGTCATTCTTTAACAGTTCTTATTTATTGTAGATGCATACTAAGCTAATTTTGGGTGAAACAATATGGTTTCTAGGATTTGCCTTAAAATACTCCAGAAAAAAAATCAGAGAGAGATGAAACAAGAATGGAAAAATATTGGTAATTGTTGGAGTTGGGTGATGGGTACCCTTCTCCCTACTTTCTTGTGTATGCCCTGGTTCTTCTACTTTTGCTCCTAGGTCCATTCTCTGCCCTTCTGTGTCTTGCTCTGAGGTCTGGGAAGCCACCTTTATTGATAGAAACACCCAGACAACTTTGTTGGCTGGTTTCTGGTGAGTTGAGCTAATAGTGGTCACCAGAAGTAGATCAGGAGTGGGAGAAGGAACAGTCAGGGGATTTATCCTCCATGTACCCTCTCTGCCTTCCTGTGGTCTGACAGTAGCTTTGCTCCACTATAGCAGTTATATTAGCTTGCTGGGGCTGCCATAACAAAGTAGCACAGTGTGGCTTAAACAACATAAATTTATTTCTCACAATTCTGGAGACTAGAAATCCAAGATACAGGCATGAGCAGGGTTGTTATCTTCTAAGGCCTCTCTCATTGATTTACACATGCCATCTTCTCCCTGCATCTTCACATGGTCCTCCCTTTGTGCATGTCTGTGCCCTAATCTCTTCTTATTAGGACGCTAGTGGCTCATGCCTATAATCCCAGCACTTTGAGAGGCTGAGGCAGGCGGATTGCTTGAGCCCAGGAGTTCGAGACACCCATGGGCAACACGGTGAAACCCCATCTCTACCAAAAAATAAACAAATAAACAAAATTAGCCAGGCATGGAGGCACACACCTGTAGTTCCAGCTATCCAGGAGGCTGAGGTGGGAGGATTTCTTGAGCCTGGGAGGTCATGGCTGCAGTGAGCTGAGATTGCACCACTGCACTCCAGCCTGGGCAACAGACCAAGACCTTGTCTCAAAACAACAAAAACAAGAAAAATCAAAAAACTGGACACCAGTAATATTTGATTAGGGCTCACCTTAATGGCTTCATTGTAATTTTATTACTTCTTTAAAGACCCAATCTTCAATTACAGTCACATTCTGAGGTACTGGCATTAGGACTTCAATGTATGGATTTTGGGGGTTACACTGCCCGTAACAGCAGTGATCAGCAGACTTTTTCTGGCAAAGCATAAGACAGCAAATATTTTAGGCTTTGTGGGCAATACAGTCTGTCACCAGGGCTCAGATCTGCCGTTGTAGCACAAAGCAGCTATAGAGAATATGTAAATGAATGGACATAGCTGTCTTCCAGTAAAACTTTATCTGTAAAACAGGTGGCAGACTCCCGGGCCATAGTTCGCCGGCCCCTGCTTCCGGTGGTTAGTGCCTTTTCCATGTGTTCATTTCTCCCTGGTCTCTGCCCCTGCAGCAGAGGTGGTAATAGCTTCCCACTATTGCTAATCCTTGGGTGTGACACTTTCCCTTTTTGGTTCCATTAACCCTGATGACGCCTTCTTTGGCCCCTTCATTCAGTTCTCCTTGGGTAAACGCTTTTTGAGTGTATCCTCTCTTTCTAGTTTGGACACTGTCTGATATTTTATATTCGAAATTCTAAGCTTGAAATTGCCCATAAAAGAATCATAATGGCCGGGCGCAGTGGCTCACGCCTGTAATCCCAGCACTTTAGGAGGCCAAGGTGGACATATCACGAGGTCAGGAAATCAAAGCCATCCTGGCTAACACGGTGAAACCCCGTCTCTACTAAAAAGATACAAAAAAATTAGCCGGGCGTGGTGGCGGGCACCTGTAGTCCCAGCTACTCGCGAGGCTGAGGCAGGAGAATGGCGTGAACCCGGGAGGCGGAGCTTGCAGTGAGCCAAGATCACACCACTGCACTCCAGCTTGGGTGACAGAGCGAGACTCCGTCTCAAAAAAAAAAAAAAAAAAAAAAGAATCATAATGAGGCCAGGCGCGGTGGCTCATACCTGTAATCTCAGCACTTTGGGAGGCCGAGGAGGGCAGATCACTTGAGGCCAGGAGTTCGAGACCAGCCTGGCCAACATGGCAAAACCCCATCTCTACTAAAAATACAAAAAATTAGCTGGGCATGGTGGCCATGCCTGTAATGCCAGCTACTCAGGAGGCTGAGGCATGAGAATCGCTTGAACCCAGGAGACAGAGGTTGCAGTGAGCCAAGATCGTGCCACTCTACTCCAACCTGGGCAACAGAGTGAGACTTTGTCTGTCTCAAATAATAATAATAATAATAATAATAATAATAATAATAATAATAATAATGAAAGGAAAGGAAAGGACCGATTTAGAAGGTAAACTGGATATGAGTTGCCTCTTGTCTCTGAAGAGTGCCCCAACCATGGAGGGGCTAAGAGGGAGAAGACAACAGGTGCTCATAGGTGAGAATCAAGAGGGAGCTTGGGCAGGGAATATGTCTAGGACCTGATCAAGCCAAGAGAGGGACCAGACCACATGGGATGCCAGCCACAGGCTTCAGTGGCCCCCACCTGGGGGCCAGCTTGGACCACGCCACCTCCGCAGGCCCAGGGCAAGAAGCAGCCCAGACCAGCGACTCTGCAGCTAGCCAGCAAGGATCCGAAGGCCACCACCTCCCTCTGCCACCACACATGCAGGCCCCAGTCCTTCTCCACACACCCGGGCACCATCTCATGGAGGGGCAGGAGGGAAAATATGAGGGACTGGGATTTTTTTTGTTTTGTTTTACTTAAAGAGGCTAACCATGACTTCTAAAAACCTGCATCAAATTAGGTTACAGGATTGGACTAAAAGTGTTTTATCAAGCAGCCAGGTCCTGTGCGGAAAATCAGAGTAATTATAAACAAATAAAGGAATGACATTTTCTCTGCACCCCCAAGAGAAGTGTGGGGAATTTTGAGAGTGCCTACACCTGTGTTAGCCTGGCAGCCCCACACTAGCTAGAAAAAGGAGGCCGAGCTTCAAGGGCTGAAAACAGTCTCTCAGGGATTTTAGATGCAAACGTGTTCTTGAGTAAAGCCCAGAGAACCACAAAAGCTAAGGCAAGCTTCATCAAAAGATAAAGAGATGTTTCTGCCACCCACCCAACCTCGGAGCCAGTCCTCAGTTCTCACCCACAATACCCACAGCCAGAGGGCCTAGGAACCTTGCTCAATCCCATTTCACTCCTTCTCTGCTGGCTGCTGGAGTCCCCAGGAAATAAAGCCAGGAGGCTGCCAGCTGGCCTCAGCAATCCTCCTTCCTCTTCCTTCGCTCTCCTCCTGTGCTGCTCAGGAAATTGCACACATTTCCCCTGGCTTGGTGCTGGCCAGCAGCGCAGATGTCTGCCCCATTCACCTGCCACATGAGGCCACGGGGTAGGAAATGAGGAGGGCGAGCTCATGGGAAGGGAAAGCAAACTCAGGGTGACGGCAGAGCTACAGGGCACAAGGATGGGGAGAACCCATTTATTTAGATGAGACTGTGGGCCCCTGCCTTATTTAGGGGCCCAATCCTGGAAATGCTTATAAATCAGTATCAAAAATGCCTTCATTCATCCAGAACAATCTGGAGGGGAAAGTACCCTGCCAGCTGGGTAGTAAGAAGGATGCAGAAGAAATTGTTAAAAGTAACAGACATTGTTTCAATCATTCATTCAACCAGCAGTTATCAAGTGCCTGATTTGAGCGGGTGGGTGTTTTAGGCATTGGGGATAGGGCGATGAATAAGACAATAGTGTGGGAGGAAGGCAAGAAACTAATACACACAGCATGTATGTATACACATACACATGCATGTACAATACACCTATGTGCATTTCTACATACAAAATACATGTCTGCTATACACAGATATGTGTACATATAACACATATGTAGCATGAAGTAGGGATGAGTGATATGAAGAAAAGCAAAGCCAGGTTAGGGGAGAGAGAGGGTCAGGGAGGCCCCCCGAGCAGGCCCCTCCAAGGGAGAAGGGCCAGCAAGTTTGGAAAAGGCCTTTCTATTCTCCAAGGGCTCTCCTTGGGCCTTACCAGATCCTCTCCCTCAGGCCTCACATCAGTCCTATTGTCAAGTCAGGGAAACTCAGGACTAGAAAGATTAGTCAGGATTTGAATCTTTATCTCTGAGCTGCCCTGACTTTTTTTTTTTTTCCTTCTGAAACAGAGTCTCCCTCTATTGCCCAGGATGGAGTGCAGTGGCACAATCTCGGCTCACCGCAACCTCTGCCTCCTTGGTTCAAGTGATTCTCCTGCCTCAGCCTCCCGAGTAGCTGGGACTACAGGCGCGTGCCACCACGCCTGGCTAGTTTTTTTTTTTTGCATTTTTAGTAGAAACGGGGTTTCACCATATTGGCCAGGCTGGTGTGGAACTCCTAACCTCGTGATTCGCCCACCTCGGCCTCCCAAAGTTCTGGGATTACAGGTGTGAGCCACCATGCCTGGCTGCCCTGACTCCTAAATACTATGAAGGCCGGGCACTGTGGCTCACGCCTGTAATCCCAACACTGGGAGGCCAAGGTAGGCGGATCATCTGAGGTCAGGAGTTCAAGACCAGCCTGGCCAACATGGTAAAACCCCATCACTCCTAAAAATACAAAAATTATCTGGGCATGGTGGTGGGCACTTATAATCCCAGCTACTCAGGAGGCTGAGGCGGGAGAATCTCTTGAACCCAGGAGGCAGAGGTTGCAGTGAGCCAAGATCACGCCACTTGCACTCTAGCCCGGGCGACAGAGCAAGACTTCATCTCAAAAAAACAAACAAACAAACAAACAAAACAACTATGAAGTCCCAAGTCTTCCAGAAACTCCCATCTCATCAGAAAGGCCCTAAACAAGGAAGCAATGAAATGAGGGAGTTGAGGGCACAGCCGGGAGAGCAGATTCCCTGGGTTCCTGGGTGAGCCAGTGGGAGGCAGTAACAGAAGTAGAGGCCGGAGTGAGAGGGTGGTGCAGCCAGGGTATTCATCCCCTTGTCCCCTCTGTCTCCTGCCTTGGTAGTAGCTCGTTCTGCTGTAGCAGCAGTCAGGACACTTTTTCTGTCAAGGGCCAGATGGTAAATATTTTAGGCTTTGCAGACCATATGGTCTCTGTTGCCACTACTCCATCCTAACTATCCCACTCACTGGGGCTTTGGGGAAATTATTTCACCCTCCCACCATGCCTCTACTTCCTCAGTTATAAAACGGGAATCAAAAGAATTCCTACTTCGGGGGTTGTGAAAAGTATTACATGAAATAACATCTGTAAAATGCTTGGCACAAAATAAGCATTAAGAGCTGCCACTGCTGTTGTACAGCAGGCCTTCCGCTTCATCGGGTTCCACATCCACCAATCACAGAAGGAAGATATACAAAGCACTAAGTAACAACAATACAACAATAAAAATAGTCCAAATAAAAAACAATATAGTATAACAACTATGTAGCGTTTACATTGTATGAGGTATCATTAATAATCTAGAGATGATTGAATGTATACAAAAGGATGTGCATAGGTCATATGCAAATACTACACCATTTTATATAAGGGACTTAAGAATTCTTGGATTTTGATATCTAAGGGGAGTCCTGGGACCAATCCCCTGTGAATACTGAGGGACGACTGTATTTACCTCTGCCCTTGCAAGTCAGCAGGTGATTAAGCACTGGTGGGTCACCTGTCCTACCCTCACTCCTGATCCCAGATGTAAAGACCTCTCTCTCTGGCCTCTCTATCAGGAGAGGCCCAACCGCAGATTGACTGAGCTCAGACAGAAGCAGCCCCTTGGAGGTGAAGTCAGGCCCTTGCACAAACATTACCTTATCTTGCTGAATTTCTCACAGCAATTCTGTCCATTTGATAGAAAGGAAGACTGAGGGTATGGATGATAAGAACTGCTCAGTTTATGACACCATCCTGTTCTGATGCACCATTTCCTCACAGATGGGGAGGTGTTCAGCTGAAAAAGTAGCAGACCAAATGAGTGGTCTAGAGGTGAGAGAAAAGGTGTCCGCTTCTCCTTTTTCATTCCTTCCCCAGACAGCCTCAAACTGTCCCTAAGGTGCCACAGGATCATGCTTCTCTCCCATGTTCCTTCCCGGCAGCGACTATGCAGACCTCCCCCTGCTCCATCAGAATCCATCAAGACCTACCCTCCTGTGTTCCAGGCTCTCTGGGCCTCCTAATCTCACAAATACATTTGAATAATAATAAAAGCTGATTTGACAATGGGATGAGCTCCCAGAGAGCATATACATTTTAGCAAAGCTTTAATTCCTTTGAGGGTGGACTAGTCATAGTGGTATTGTCAGGTACCATGGTAGACCCTTTGAAGATATTTTCATTTGGTTGGGAAAGGAGATATGGAAGCTTTGTTCCATCTGACAGATGAAAAAAATTGAAGCTCAAAGCATGTATATATCTAGTAATGCCCTCCTACTTAGATCATGCTGGGATATCTGCCATGGAAATCAGAAATATAAATGCTATCACATAGATCAAGAATTTAGCACAGTAAATATTAGTTATCTGACCTTCTCCCTTTCCAATCCTCTAACCCTAGGCTGGAGGAGATATTTAGGTAAAGCATTTAGGTAAAGTAAGGAAGGACAATGGAAGCCAGATATTAAAGAGGAAGAGTTCCAATTGGATATAGAGAAGGAGAAAGTGAAAAGGGGTTATTTACAGAGATAGATTGCACATTCATCCAATCACAATTTAAAATTTGCCAAACCTAACCCATTTTCCATAAATCCATTTACTGACATCTAGAAACCCCACTGAGAAATCTTTTTCTGGTCTCCTTTTGAAGAGTTATTTAATTCCCAGGAAGCCTGGCCCAGTGGCAAGATATTTCCAAGAAAAGGGAGGGGAATCTAATTCTCTATTTGGTTTAATTTTGTTCTGGAACACTTATGAAGGCTCAAATCCAAGGGGAGAAAAAATACACTCCTACTTCAGGCTGCACAGCAAGGACAGAAAGAGAAAGCAAAAAATTCCCTGTAAAAAGAGGTAGGCACAACCTCACTAATATTTGCACCACTTTACAAACTTAATTTGCCTGAATTTGGAGGGAAACAGGACTTCCAAGACCAAGGGCAGGTGGAGAAGATGGAACAAAATGAATGTTTCCATCTTGTAAAGGTTTGAAAGGGAGTGTACTTTAACAGTGGAAGAGGAATGGATGGATGGAGGGATGGAGGTAGGGATGGATGGATGGGTGGGTGGGTGGGTAGGTGGATGAATGGATATGTGGGTGGAAAGATTAGTGGGGTGGATGTATGGCTGTGTGCGTGTATGGGTAGATCAATAGGATGGATGGAGGGAGGATGGATGGATGAATGGATGGATATGTGGGTGGAAAGATTAGTGGGGTGGATGTATGGCTGTGTGTATGGGTAGATAGGATGGATGGATGGATAGATGGATGGGTGGGTGGACGGGTGGGTGGGTGAGTGAGTGAACTGATATGTGGGTGGAGAGATTAGTGGGATGGATGTATGGCTATGTGTGTGTATGGGTAGATAGATAGGATGGATGGATGGATGGATAGATAGGTGAGTGGATAGATTAGTGGGTGGATGTATGTTTATGTGTGTGGATGGGTGGATGGAAGGAGTGTGCATGGATAAATGGACAAATGGATGGATGTGTATACGGGTGGGTGAATGGATGGCTGGATGGGCGGGTAGGTGATGAATGGGAAGGTAGGAGAACTAGGTGGCTAGCTAAATCCTGCTTATGCTTGAATTTTGTTTGGCCTGCATGATGTTTTGGAAACATTTGAATCAGTTGCTTTCATTTAAAGCAGAGAAAATTTTACCTAAAACCTTTGATTTCTGCCTTCTCTTGAAAAATCAAGGGAGCTGGCAAAAGTGAGACCACATTTCTTCATGGCAACAATTAACTAGAGCTGAGTAATGACTGTCCCTTTAAACAGGGCACACATGCTTCAGTCCCCCAGAGTCCCTGCTGATGCACATTGGCTCTAACACCTGTCAACTTCACTCTGCCAAAGTATCTGCCTGCCCAGGAGGCATTCATAAATGCAATAAAGGACCTAGTAAACATAGGCCCCATCCTAGTCCATTCAAGTTGCTATAACAAAATACCTTACACTAGGTAGTTTATGAATAACAGAAATGTATTGCTCACAGTTCTGGAGGCTGGGAAGTCCATGAACCAGGCACTAGCAGATCTGGTGTCTGGTGAAGGCTCACAGATACTTCATAGATGATGCCTCTTGCTGCATCCTCACCTGGTAGAAGGGACCTGGGAACTCCCTTCAACCTCTTTAGCAAGGTCACTAATCTTATTCATGGAGGCTCTGTCTTCATGACTTCATCACCTCTTAAAGCCTCCATCTCTTAATACTGTCACATTGGTGATTAAGCTTCAACATATAAATTCTGGGGGAACATATTCAGACTATAGCAGACCTTTCAGTAAGCAGACACATAGCAAGTGTATTCTTCTCCATGTTGCTTTTTACTACTTCCACTGTCACAATCCAAGCCTTACAGGATGGACATAGAGGTTCCATGGGTTACACAAGACCTTGGTTCTTGCCCCTCCGTATACCTCCAGTATGGAGATCTAACCTCTCAGCAAAACACTTAAAGCCCTTCCACATCCAAGTTCCCACATGCCTACTAAACTCTATATTCTATGCCACTGCAAACTCAAATATCTAAACTGGCTTTCCTATTAGGTAGGACATGAACCAGCAGTTCTTTGCCTTTGTTTGTGTTATTTCTTCTTCCAGAAATGGGCCCTCTCACCTCTCACTGTCTGGTTAACCCTTCATCTTTCAGCCTTAGCTCAAGTATCACCTTCTTGTTGAAGTCTTCTCTGACCACTCTCTCCAGACAGAATGAAATACTCCCTTCTCTCTGTCCCTACAACTTGGACAATTATATGAACACAGACCCCTGTGACTGTCTCTCCCAGGAACCACAACACCTTACCTGATCCCCGGGACTCAGTACAGTTCCTGGTTGGTTTTCAGGCACATTTGTTGCTGCACGAGTCATTAGATAAGATGTATCCATCTAGCCATTGAAATATCAAGGAAATGCTTTACTGCTATGGTCAGGTTGTGCACCACACCACTGAAGGAAGCACCGTAGACATAGATCAAAATAGGAATGGAGCCCCCCAGATTGTACAGTACACAGCAGGATAGGTGGAGGACCTGCCCACAGCCCATCCTGGCCTTGGATGACATGGTCCTTCTTCATAATCATATCCAGTTACTGTTGACTTCTACTGAGTGTCACCCAGTCCAGAGGCCCTCACTGAGTGAAAGGGACATCTATTATTCTACAATTAATCTATTCAGTACAGAGCCTCATCTTCTTCCTCATAATCTTTCTCTCCCTCTGTCTTTTGGTTCTAGGCTTTAGTTCCTGACAGCCCCTGTGAAGGTATCTATAAGTTCTTTTCAGCTCTGATTCCAGGGATGGAGCTTACCAAACTATTTTCCATGCCACATGTCCCTCCTGCCTTCCTTCTTACCCGCTCCTGAAGCTGAAAGCCATGCCCTCCCATCCTTAGCTCATTCCTTCTTTCTAGGAGTTGGGCCAACAATTGGTGATCTGCACTAATCAGGTTGTCCAGGTTAAAGGACCTCCTCTTCACTACTCTTTGCAAAAGATCCTGTGTTTTTTTGTTTTGTTTTGTTTTCCCTGTAGCCTGTATTCTTTGAAGTATTTCCTCATACTCTACCCCCAAGCTAGGTAAGACTATCCTGGCAGCCAATCTGTTATTGACCTAGAGTCCTCTGGTCACCTGACCTTTCCTGGCTGTCTTCAGGTGAGGACAGTGATTGTCTGCACTCGTTCATCTCCACCCTACCCCACCTCTGTTTCTTGAATTGTCATATGATCTACAGCCTAAGAGTATGCCCAAGGGTGCCAGGGAAGTGGGCCTAACCTACCTTCCACAGGTTCCCCATGCTGCCCTGAGTGAAACCCTTGTGAATCAGAGGGGCAGGGGGCTTGGAGCTTAGAAAAGGATTAGACAATATGAGGAAGTTCGGTTTTCCAGTGGAGACAGGCTGCTTCGTAAGTGCTGATACTTACAAAATAAGTTTGCAACTCTCTGTGGAGTTTACCATTGTTTCCAACGTTGGGAGGATCTGTGTCTGTACTTCCTTTCCCATCGTGCCTAGAACAGGGTGGATTACTAAATGTCGATGGCTGATGTGTAGGTCTAATATGGCCATCACTGCTCTTAACCTCTCCCTCTGGTAGCGGTACCTACTGCAATGAGTTACTTCTTCATTTCATTTGATTCATGGGGGCTGCCTGCCTGGCCACTGGTCTCGGCATGTGACCTAAGCCAGATAATCAAATAACCCATCTCCATGGCCATAGTAACTTGCCAAGACAAGGGTGGCATGTGACCCACACAGACCAATTAGGGGTTTTCCCTGGGATTTTATATATAGGCTCCAGGAAAGAGAAACTCTTTTCTTCCACTGGAGTTTCCAACTAGAGTGATGTAAGCCTACGGCTTACATAGTTTGGGACCAGGCCTCCCTCCCACTCTTCCTCTCTTTTGCCTCTGGAATGTATGAAGTCATACATTGAGAGAAGCAGACTTGGAGGTAGGAAGAGAAAAAGATGGCAAAAAGAATTGGGGAGAAAAGGAGAGAAAGAACAGTGGAGGGAAGAGAGAGGCCCACCAGGATCCAGCACATTTTTAAATTTTTTTGAGATAGGGTCTCTGTCACCCAGGCCGAAGTGCCGTGGGGCAGTCTCACTGCAGCCTCAACCTCCAAGGCTCAAGCAATCCTTCTACCTCAGCCTCCTGAGTAGCTGGGACTAAAGGTTTGTGCCTCTGTGCCTGGCTATTTTATCTTATTTTATTTATTTATTTATTTATTTTGACCTCTGAATTTTTTTTTCTTTTTGAGACAGTCTCGTTCTGTCACCCAGGCTGGAGTGCAATGGCATGATCTCGGCTCACTGCAACCTCTGCCTCCCGGGTTCAAGCGATTCTTCCGCCCCAGTCTCCCAAGTAGCTGGGATTACAGGCAACTGCCATCATGCCCAGTTAATTTTTGTGTTTTCGTAGAGACGGGGTTTCACCACGTTGGCCAGTCTGCTGACCTCAGGTGATCTGCCCGCCTCAGCCTCCCAAAGTGCTGGGATTACAGGTGTGAGCCATCACGCCCAGCCTGACCTCTGAACTTTTTATTGGCCTCCTGCTCCCCAGAGAGTACCCTGCTTCTCCTGGCTTAATGTCTCAGAACTTTGGTGTCACTGGTCTCAGACACCACTTTGCCATCCACTATCTGGCAGGTGGTGGTCTTTTGGATGGTTTTCATGGAGTTGCTGATGTCCAGGGCATCACCAAGATTGAAGTCCTCGCCGTCTTCCAGCAGGTGGTGGTAGTGGTGACCTCAACCTCCAGCTTGACCTTAATATTCAACAGGGCCTCATACTCCTTGGCCTGGCGCTGTCCCTCTGCCCAGGTCTGTGCCAGCTCTGACTCCAGGTGCAGCAGGATCCTGTTGAGCTGCTCCATCTGCAGGGCATAGTGGGCCTCCACCTCCCTCAGGCTGTTCTCCAAGCTGGCCTTCAGGTTTCTCATTGAGTCCAGGTCAATCTCCAAGGACTGGACCGTACATCTCAGCTCCATGAGTGTCATCTCAGCAGCTCCAACCTCGGTGGACTGTGTGGTGACCACTGTGGTGCTCTCCTCAATCTGCTGAGACGAGTACTTGTCCAGCTCCTCTAGGTTCTTCTGAGCCAACTTGTCATATTGGGCCAGAATGTCTGCCATGATCTTGGTGAGGTCCTGAGATCTGGGGGCATCTGGCTCCACAGTCAACCCAGAGCTGGCAGTCTGGGCTTGCAGACCTTTTACTTCCTCTTCATGGTTCTTCTTCATGAAAAGAAGCTCCTCCTTGAGAGCCTCAATCTCTGTCTCCAGCTGCAGCCGAGTGACATTAGTGTCATCAATGACCCTGCGGAGTTTATGGATGTCACTCTCCACAGACTGGTGCATGGCCAGCTCTGTCTCATACTTGACTCTAAAGTCATCAGCAGCAAGATGGGCATTGTCGATCTGCAGAATGATGTGGGCGTTGTCCACAGTATTTGTGAAGATCTGAGCCCTTAAGTCCTCGATGGTCTTGAAGTAATGGCTCCAGTCTCTGACCTGGGGTCCCTTCTTCTCCAACTGCTCCCAGATTTTGCTCTCCAGTTTCCGGCTCTCAGTCTCCAGCCTCCTCACTCTGTCCAGGTAGGAGGCCAGGTGGTTGTTCAGGCTTTGCATGGTCTCCTTCTCGTTCTGGATGCCTCCCATTCCTGCCAGACCCCCAGCCATCCCCGCAGCCAGGCCCCCAGGCCCATGCCACCCTGGAAGCTGGTGGAGCGGGACACAGAGATCCGGGAACCAGAGCCCCCAGCGCCTGCATAGAGCGCCTGCATAGACGCTGGCCGCGCTGCTGACCAGCCGGGTGCCGTAGCTGGGCACCTGGACAGAGCCCAGGGACCGGCAGCTGGTGGAGAAGGTGGAGCGAGTGGTGAAGCTCATGCCGTCCAGGGAGGAGAGTGAGAGGACAGGACTCAGACTTTGCCCTTATTTTATTTTTTGTAGAGATAGGTTCTCCCTACATTGCCCAGGCTGATCTTGAACTTCTGGGCTCGAGCGATCCTCCTGCCTCAGCTTCCCAAAGTGCTGAGATTGCAGGTGTGAGTTGCCAAACCCATCCCTAGCACATTCTTGTGACCAGTTACCTGTTTACCTCTCATCAGCCTTCAGCTGCTCTCTGTCTCTGCCTCTCTTTGTGCCTTTAGCTTTAACTCATACCACCAAGCACATAAGTCTCCAGATTTTGGGGTCTGTGAGGGAACCTGAAGGGCTCAGATAGTCACCCTTGTCCCAGTTAGACTTAACTTGTGCCCAACACCACCTCATGTGTTGGTGATCAATGTATGGATTGGCAGTCCTTAGGTGACAGACCAATTCCCTATGACCAGGGAGATGGAAGTCAAAAGGCACCATCGGTCAATGTAGGAGAAGAAACCCCAGAAAGGAGGCTGAGGCAATAGCAGCAACTGGCATTGTGGCCACCCAGGTCTACCAGCCACCCAGAATTTGATTCTTCAATATTTAATATTTATTAATAAGTAGAAAATACTGAGTCGACTGTTTGTAACTAACTCACACAGAACCCCAAAAATTAAATAAAAGGGAATGAGACATGGGAGGCAAAAAGCAATTTCCTCAAAAAATTCAATTTGTTTTGTTCTCTGTGTCTGATTTCCTTTGGGTTGGCCCTGCTTTCCTTAAGATCTCCAAAACCCCAGACTTGGCTTGCATCTGGAACAAAGGCAAGACGGGGGCCATTTCTCCAGCCCAAGCCCAGGCCCAGGCCCAGGCCCAAGCCCTGCCAATAACAGAGAGGCTGGCTCAACAGTGAGGTCTCCCCAGGATACATCAACCACCGCCTCAGTGTGAAAGATGATCAGCCATGAGCTTAATTCCTCATAAAATATCACTTAGGCCAGAGCAGGTTAGCTAAATATGTGGTCCTAAGAATTAAACAGTTTCCCTTTTAGCTCCAACAAAGAGGGGAAAGGTAGGGCTGCAGGGGTATCATTTTGCAGGGGCCTTCAGGGCTGCTCATGAGCTGGCTGCTAAGTTGCTTGAGGGCAACATCATTGCAATGATAGGGTTAAGGTTTTCTCATCTTCTGCTGGTCCATCCCTCCCCCTATTAACCATGCACGTTCCTTCAGTGCAGGTGGATATCAGCAGAAATCTAAAGGTTCTCTCCCTCCTTCCCTAGGGACAAAACCCAGCCTCCAATCTCTATAGACTTTAGTGAAAGATGCCAGGAATGTAAAGTATGGTGAACATGCTTTGTCAGAGGTAAGACATCAGTGTATGTACGGCATTGGTTATACACGTTTTAATTTCATCACTAAAGGAAGTATATGATATTCACTACTTTCCCCAATATGGCCTCTGATCTAGCTATGCTGGTTTCCTCAATATTCTTTGAACACAGCTGACACCACTCCCACTCAGGACTGCTGAACTGGCTGTTTCCTCTGCTTGGAATACTTTTCTCCTAGATAACTCTGTGGCATGCTCCCTTAATGTCACCTTTTCCGTGAAGCTCTCTCTGGTCACTCCATCCAAAGCCTCAGCCACTTCAAATTGCTGCCTTTCTTCCTTGCGCTGCTTTTCCCTACTTAGCCTTATTATTTACACTTGATATGTTTTATCGTTTAACTTGTTTGATCTGTTTCCCCTTACATAATGTAAGCTTCATGAAGTCAGGGATTTTTTTTTTCCTTTTTAACTTTTAAGTTCAGGGGTACAAGTGCAGGCTTGTTACATAGGTAAACTTATGTCATGGGGGTTTGTTGTATAGATTATTTCATCACCCAGGTATTAAGCCTAGTATCCATTAGTTGTTTTTCTTGATCCTCTCCCTCCTCCAACCCTCCACCCTCCAAAACGCCCCAGTGTGTGTTGTTATCCCCATGTGTCCATGTGTTCCTATCATTTAGCTCCTACTTATAAGTGAGAACATGAGGTATTTGGTTTTCTGTTCCTGTGTTAGTTTGCTGAGGATAACGGTTTCCAGCTCCATCCATGTCTTTGCAAAGGACATGATCTCATTCTTTTTTATGGCTGCATAGTATTCCATGGTGTGCATATGTACCACATTTTCTTTATTTTTCTTTATTCAGTCTATCACTGATGAGTATTTAGGTTGATTCCATGTCTTCAATATTGTAAATTATGCTGCAATGAACATATGCATGCATGTGTCTCTATAATAGAATAATTTATATTCCTTTGGGTATATACCCACCAATGGGATTGCTGGGTTGAATGGTAGTTCTGCTTTTAGGTCTTTGAGGAATCACCACACTGTCTTCCACAGTAGCTGAACTAATTTACACTCCCACCAACGTGTATAAGCGTTCCTTTTTCCCCACAACCTCGCCAGCATGTTATTTTTTGACTTTTTAATAATAGCTATTCTTACTGGTGTGAGGTAGTATATCGTTGTGGTTATGATTTGCATTTCTCTAATGATCATTGATGCTGAGTTTTTTTTCATATGCTTGTTGGCCACATGTATGAGGTCAGGGATTTTCATCTATTTCATTCACTGCCTCATCTCCAGTGATTAGAACAGTGCCCGACCTTTAATAGATGCACAATAAACATTTGTTGCATTAGTGAATGTGTCAGAATGAGCCCATATTTGGGGTTAGATATGGGTTAGGATGTGTCCACAGCCAATTATGAACAGTGAGACCTGGGTACATGACTTCACCTCTCAGGATCTCAGTTCTCTTATCTGAAAGTTGGATATGACATCTATTTCATAAGGTCCTGGAAAATGTCAACAACGTAATGCATATAAAGGGTTGAACACATTGTCTGGCTAGGAAATAAGTTACTGCCTAGTTATATTACTATTGCAAGAAGAGTAAGTGGTTGCTACTTCTGAGGTGCTTGAAAACATTTCAACAGAAACACAAAGAAAAATAAAAAGCATCCCAAAGGATTATAAATCATGCTGCTATAAAGATACATGCACATGTATGTTTATTGCGGCACTATTCACAATAGCAGAGACTTGGAACCAACCCAAATGTCCATCAATGATAGACTGGATTAAGAAAATGTGGCACATATACACCATGGAATACTATGCAGCCATAAAAAAGGATGAGTTCATGTCCTTTGTAGGGACATGGATGAAGCTTGAAACCATCATTCTGAGCAAACTATCACAAGGACAGAAAACCAAACACCGCATATTCTCACTCAGAGGTGGGAATTGAACAATGAGAACACTTGGACACAGGATGGGAAACATCACACACCGGGGCCTGTTGTGCGGTGGGGGGAGGGGGGAGGAATGGCATTGGGAGATATACCTAATGCTAAATGACGAGTTAATGGGTGCAGCACACCAACACGGCACATGTACACATATGTAACAAACCTGCACATTGTGCACATGTACCCTAGAACTTAAAGTATTAAAAAAATAAAAGCATCCAAATCTGCCTGGATTGGGAACGGGGCAAATGAATCTTGTGCACAAGAACTTGATATGTAAACATCTGTGTGTATGTGTGTTTGCACATGCACATGCGCAGGTACCTCCCATTCATATAGAAGTCAGACTTTCATGGGTTTTCATTCCCATGGCAGTTTTTCCAAGTTTCATATTTGTATTTCTGCACGTACACAAGTGTTGTGAACACCACACACTTCCACAAGCATGCACATGCATGAATACACATGCACACACACGTGCACACATGTTCCTCCACCCCAACCCCTAACCCAAGGGGTGAGGCTCTCTGGTAGGGCAGCTACTTCACTATTCCTGGCTTGCAGGATTTATGCCCTTACAGCCATTTGCACTGAAGTTCCTTGCTAGACACTGAACCTGCTCTAAGCATGGCTCTCTGTTCCTCTTCCACAACCCTCTTGCTAGCCCAGACTGCACCTTCTAAGTCCCTTCTTGAAAGGACACCTCCCTTCAAGACCCAGAAACCTCTAGTGGTCTGACTGCAAAGGAGAGTGAGGACACGGGATAAACAAATACCAGTCCTGGCCCCAGGTGTCACTGAGAGAAGCCCCAACACTGAGCCAGAGTTTAAAATGGCAATGGCTTTCTGGAGGACTTTCCTATGTGGCAAGGCATGCTGAGGTCTAGACCAGGGGGCAGCTTTCAGGGTAGAACCAGCACCTGCTGAAAACAGCTGGTGTCATTATGTAGCCCCTAGCCCCTCCATCCTACCCCATCTGCCCTCCCTGCCATAGTGAAAGTAGAGTCCTGGTAACAGCACCAACTTTAAAATCAGGTGGTTTGGGGATTAGAATCTCAGCTCCAATACTTGATAGCTGTGAGAACTTCAGCCAGTTTCTTATTCTGTCTGAACCATGGTTTCATCATCTGTTGAGTGATCTGAACTCCTTAGAATTATTGGAAGGATTTAAATCAGAGTCACCATGTATTTCTGCTCAGGTTGTGCACTGCACAGTTCCAGGGAGCCATCATTGATATGGGCTACAAAATCAATGACAGCCCTTGGATTGTGTAGGACACAACCTTATGTGATAATACAGGTATGAAATAATATGTTAAAAGCACCTGGCCCAAGGCCTGGCACCTAGTAGGTGCTAAATAAATGGTGGCCAAAAAATACGTTTATTAATCATGCCTTTAATTCACAGAAAGGCACCCACTGGCTGGGTGTGGTGGCTTATGCACATGATCCCAGCACTTTGGGAGGCTGAGGCAGGCAGATCACTTGAGGCCAGGAGTTTGAGACCAGCCTGGCCAACAGGGCAAAACCCCATCTCTTAAAAAAAAAAAAAAACACAAAAAAAACGTGGTGGTGCATACCTGTAACCCCAGCTACCTGAGAGGCCTGAGGCATGAGATTCGCTTGAACCTAGGAGGTGGAGCTTGCAGTGAGCTGAGATTGTGCCACTGCACTCCAGCCTGGGCAACAAAGCGACACTGTCTAAAAAAAAAAAAAAAAAAAAAAAAAGAAAGGCACCCATGTAGCCTTCACTGCCTGCTGACATAATGGCTGAGGGTAGGAAGTTTTAGCCATGGTAATATACAAGGCAACTTCAGTGGTGATGGAATATGATGTCCTCGGAACATCCATTTTTATTGTTCTTTAGATTCCAGAGTTTAAGAGTTTGCTCATGGCTTTTGCTCACTGGAAATTTTCTTAGTGAACAATCAGATATCTTGCAGTGCTAGAATGTGTGTGCTGTTGGAATCATTTGGTCTTAATGAGGTGGGATTTACTTTAAGTGGAGCATAATTGCCCTTCCCCATTAAAATATTTTCTTTTAAATCAAAACATTATGTACTATGTCCTTTTAAACATAGCTGACCTTTAAAAAGGAGAATCTAGATGCTCAGACCTCCAACCTCAATCCTTATGGTCTGGTAACTACCCCTTCTATACCCAGGCAGAGATGGGAGATTTACTTTCTGGTGAGGTCAACTCGTAGACGTGGGATATATGTGAGAGAGGTAGAAGATGCCTACTACACACAGGGTTTACATTCTGAAAAGTTGGACTGTCAAATATGCTGCCCCTACCTGGGTCCCATAAAGCTACAGCCAAACCTAAACCACCCCACCCCAGGCAGGAGGCTGTAGGGTTCTAATCAGCCCAGAAAATTGGCTTAAAAATATGAACAACAAGGAGTCCCAAGTGAAACAGCCAGGTCCCTCTCAGTCAGCCTGTAGTGAAGAGTTCACCAGCTGCTAAGCCACACTAACAAGCAAAGAAATTCCAATCAGCAGTTTAGAGCCTCTCTCCTAGATGTTCATCAGATATTGAGGGACTGATTTTGACACAGAAGATAGAGACTAAAAATAACAATCAGAGCAAAAGAAAGAGAGAAAGAGATGAGAAAAGGAAGGAAGAAAGGAGGGAGGGAGGGAAGAAGGAAATAACTCTGACACAATTAATACAAAGCAGGGGCAAAATAATACTGGCCAACATACTGAAACCCTGTCTGTACTAAAAATACAAAAATTAGCCATGCATGGTGGCACGCACCTATAGTCCCAGCTATTCAGGAGGCTGAGCCAGAAGAATTGCTTGAACCTGGGAGGCGGAGGTTGTAGTGGGCCAAGGTCACCCCACTGTACTTTACCGTGGGCAACAGAGCGAGACTTCGTCTCAAAAAAAATAAAATATGGGCCTGGTGAGGTGGCTCACACCTGTAATCCCAGCACTTTGGGAGGCCGAGGCAGGTGGAACACGAGGTCAGGAAATCGAGACCATCCTGGCTAACACAGTGAAACCCCATCTCTACTAAAAATACAAAAAATTAGCTGGGTGTGGTCGTGGGCACCTGTAGTCCCAGCTACTTGGGAGGCTGAGGCAGGAGAATGGCATGAACCCGGGAGGCGGAGCTTGCAGTGAGCCAAGATCACTTTACTGCACTCCAGACTGGGCGAAAGTGCAAGACTCTGTCTCAAAAAAAAAAAAAAAAATATATATATATATGATTAGTAGTCATGATGAGAGAAGATATTGCAACTATGAAATAAGAATGAAGCTCATAAAAAGAGAAGAACAAGAAAGAACTCATAGAAATAAAAAATGTGAGAGCCAAAATAAAAATGCAACAGATGGA
Source organism: Homo sapiens (assembly GCF_000001405.40). NCBI lineage: Eukaryota > Metazoa > Chordata > Mammalia > Primates > Hominidae > Homo > Homo sapiens. The sequence goes on from NC_000011.10 coordinate 35,868,174, forward strand.
TGACAAGATACAGCTGAGGACATCCCCCAGAAACTGTAACATTACAACAGAAATGGAAAATGAAATAAAGTGAGAAGATCTGTCTGGAGATCCAAAGTCTAAATAACCAAGAGAGACAATGGAGGAGGGGAAACATCAAAGAACAAAAGAGAAGAACTTTAATGAATGGAGGAATCTAAGTTTCTAGATTAAGGAGGCCTTCAAAGAGCCTAGCATAATGTAGGAATTCTCAAATCAAAGTCTGTCATTCCAAAACTTTAGGTCACCAGAAATGAATAAAAGCTCTCAGGGAAAAATAGAGATTAAAATGTCGTCAAATTAGAAGATGACACAACAGTGCTTTTAAAATTCAGAAGGAAAATTATTTCTAACTTTGAATTCTTTAGCCTGCCAAACCATCAGTCAGAAGTGAATATAGAATAGAGACATTTTTAGAAAATGCAGGGTCTTAAAGAATTACCTCCCATATACCTTTCTAAAAAAGTTACTGAAGGATATGCTCCATCAAAATGAAGGAGTAAACTGAAGAAAAGGAACACGATCAACTGGTAATCCAGCACAGGGGAATGAAGGAGTAAACTGAAGAAAAGGAACACGATCAACTGGTAATCCAGCACAGGGGAGAAGAGACAGGGAATTTTCAGGAGGATGGAAAAGAAAAGTCCAGGAAAACAGCTGTACAGCAATTCAAAAGCAAAACTAATCCAGAGTAGAGCAGGAGAAGAGAGATATCTAGAAAGTGTCTCTGGGGATAAAAAATAAAAGTGGTAGATTATCTGACATGCTTTGTTATGTAGAGAGGCATTCTATAGCTGTACAAATATTTCACCAGAAATTTGACAAACACCAAACTTTTCTTAAAAAACAATTAAGTACAAGAAAAATAAAACATTCTGTAATTACCTCATATAAGGACTCTTAAAATTTCCTCTCCATAATATATCTTGAAAAATTATTCCACTTTTCAGACAACTATTATTTGTCTTTTATTTTTGTTTTGGGGATAAGTTTTTACCCAGAAGCACACTACATATATGTGCTGCAAGACATGATAATTTGACATTACAATTTCAGGCAATGACATACCTACCAACTGATTCAACATTTCCATTCATAGACTAGCATACTGGGCAAATTTGAGTTACTTGCCGCATATGGATGAGCCCCAAATGCTTTGTTATGCAAGGAGTGCCAAATAAGAAAGACTTTCTACAACACTTTAGTCTTTTGGGTGTGCATACTGTTTCCACGTTTTGAGGTATTCTCATATTTAGCTTTTATTTAGCCCTAAAGGTGTAGTTCCATACTGTTTTTAAGTGCAGCTTGAGCAAATGATAACTATGACCCCAAAAAGTTGATGAATACAATGGTGCAACAAGAACCTACCTTCCAGAGAATGACTCCCTCTTCCATCAGACACTCAAGTCTACTCCTCCTCCTTTGGTGAATAAAGTAAGTCTTTACTATATCAACTCATTATGTATTATTTATTTAAGCTTGTTTTTATTGTTCAATTGATATTTTTCCTATCTGTGAAAGTTGAGCATCTTCGGTTGGGATACATTAATACTTTCCCCTGTTAATATTCATACAGTTTTTTTTTTTTTTTTTTTTTTTTTCCATTTAACAGGTCTTCACTTAGTGGCAGGGTTTTCAGGGTCAAATTAAAGTCCTTAAAAGAAATATGTGTCATGAAAGGAAATGTAATTACACAACCTGGATCAGCAATGAATAATACATGGTCCAACAAATACGAATTGAATAAAAATAAGAATTGGGCCGGGCGTGGTATAAGTGACTTAAGCCATGTCGGGAAAATGAACAAAGAATTGTATTCAAAGGGTGTTGTAACATAATTGTCTTCATACTCCTTATTAGAAAGTCAATATGTAACATATAAATTTGAAATATCAAGAATAGCAATATAAACATGTTATTTAGAAAAATGGAAGTAAATACTTAAAAAAACATCTAAAGCATTGAATGTGCTTGCCTCTGGAAATGAGGACTAGGGTGAAGAGAGAGACAAGACACTGCTTTTCATTATGTTTTATAGGGCTGTTTGACTTTCTAAAGTAATAACTAATAAAAATTAAAATTACATTTAAAAAGGCAATAAATATTCATTGGAGAAAACTTGGAAAATAGAAAAATGGAAAGAGATAAAATAAAAGTCATTCATAACATATCTACCCAGAAAAGCTGCTGATGAAACAATTGTAGGCTAGTTTTGAGTTTTTCTACTATGCATACATACATACACATTTTTAAATAAAAGTGAGATCGTATTGTAAATATTGTTTTGCAACCTGCATTTTTTTCCTCAAGGTAATTGTGGTAAATTTTCCTGTGTTAATATTCATCTACTACATCGTTTTAATGGCTGTATATTCCCCATTATACAAATATACTATAATTTATTTAGTTCAACCCAATATTTACCATTAATTATTCAACCAGCATAATTATTCCACCAAACAAACGCAACTTTTGATTCTTTTGAAAAGATAGTAGAAAGGAATTTTCTCTATCCTTTGTTCAATTGTTGTCAATAGTTTCTATTTTGCTTTACTAGCAAGGCTGAGATATTTGACTTGCTCTGAGATTTTCCCCTGACAATTCACACTCTTTTTAAAATTCTCTCTCCCTTTAAAATTGTAAAAGGAATGTGTATGTGGTAAATAGATGTTCTTGCCTGATAGTGACCCTTTTCTCATCTTTAGGGAATAGCACCTTGGTTTTTCTTCCTGGAATCCCTCCTCCCTCTCAGGCAATGGCCCAGCCTATGTGGTTTGGGTGAAACCGAACCCACCTCTGGTCCAGGGTGACCATATGATCTCACCTGGTCGTTCAGCCTAATTCATCTTTTCAGGCTCCATAAATAGTTCAGGGATGGACGTATGGCCAGAAAGGATGCAACAGAGTCAACACCACAGCTTTCACTGGAAACTTTAGGGAAGAAGATTTCTCTTTCTTTTCACTGGGATGGCTGAGCTGATAAAAGTTTAAGTCTGAGGTGGCTGGTGACCATTTGCTACTGCAAAGGGAAAGCCTGCCTGAGGATTCAGCCAAAGAGGAAGAAAAATAACCAAGAGATTTAGAAAGGCAGAATCATGACGACACCTTTTGAGCACCTGGATCCAGCACTGCCCAATGCTCCCAGCCAGTGACAGGAACTAATACATTTTCTTTTTTCCTTAATCTCTTTTGAGTTGGGGTGCTGTCATCTGCAAGTGAGTATATGTGTTAATAATATGTACTCAAAGTCAAATAACTCAAACAGTATTGATAAAAAGTGAAAATTAAAACTTCCTCTTTTCTTCCCCAAATTCTCAGTCCAAACACCCCAGAGACAATCACTTCTCGGTTTCTTAACTATGCTTCCAAAATGTGTCTGTGCATTTACAAATATACCAATTTCCAATTTTTGAAATATGCAAACAGAATTATACTAACTATACTATCCTGTAACTTGTGTTTTTACTTTACCATGAGGAAAGAAGATACCTTGCCTTGCACAAATCTAGATGTTTACTTCATTTTTCCTAAGACTGTTTTTTTTCTTGAGATGAAGTCATGCTCTGTTGCCCAGGCTGGAGTGCAGTGGCATGATCTCAGCTCACTGCAACCTCTGCCTCCTGGGTTCAAGTGATTCTCCTACCTCAGCCTCCCAAGTGGCTGGGATTTCAGGCGTGCGCCACCATGCCTAGCTTTTTTTTTTTTTTTTTTTTTTTTTAAGTAGAGACATGATTTTACCACGTTGGCCAGGCTGGTCTTGAACTTCCAACCTCAAGTGATCTGCCTGCCTTGGCCTCCCAAAGTGCTGGGATTACAGGCGTGAGTCGCTGCACCCAGCCATTTTTCCTAAGACATTTACTTGCATGGCTTCATTTTGCAAAGGAGTGTATTGTATGGACATCCCATATTCTAACCAGTCTTGTACTGATGACCATTTAGGTTTACCCAGTTTTTCATCATTAAAAACAGGTTGTGATGGGCATCATTCTTTTATCGTTTTGTGCAGCAAATCCACAAAGCCAAAGAAGTTTATGCTTCTGGCGCCTCATTGCCCAGGCCCCTTCCAGGGAGCTTACATTTCATTTACTGTCACAGGATGCAGGTAAGTGCATGCCAGCCGCACAACGTAAGAGTGACGCCCAGTAATAGTACTACTGCCCCATGCTGACTTACAGGGGTCAAGATCCAAAGTTGCAGGACCCTGGGTCATGTCTCAGTAAAAACGTGCCGGAGGACAACAGGTACAGAATTATACAGAAGTGGAAGAGACCTGGTCTGAAATGTACAGAACAAGAAGCTAGTCTGGGGAAAGTTCCAATTGTCAGAGGTATGAAAAGGGTTTTGATTCTCACAAAAGTCTACCAGAAACAGAATAATTCAGCATGTACAACAAAAAATGTACCATATGGTTTTTTCTTTTTTGACAAGAATCAGGGAGAATAAAATTTATCAAGATCTCTTTGTAGGGCCAAATCTGCAGCAATACCACAACCAGCTAGTATATGTCTGTATGAAGTGGCACGTTTTCTCATCACGACTATCAATAATAAAGAACAGATTTCAATTTACTATGCCATAGGAAAGACTGAACTATCTTCCTACTCTCTTTATGAAAAGTGATATTTCACAATTGTTGTCATATGAATCAGAAGCAATCAAAGAGTATGCAGCCAAAAAGTGTAGGAAGGAAGGCATTGTAAAAGCACATGAAGCAGTAAATTAATAAGAATATTATGTTATTTTTCTGAACTTTGTGATTATGGTATTTGGCAGCTTTTTAAAATGTGTGACTTTTGTAGTTTATTCTCTCTTTGCAAATAAATATTCATTGTGTGCCTAACTTATGTGTGTAATTTTGTGTTTTTTAAAGAGGTTCTCTAAACTTCTCTGAAACTCAGGCTCTGCAAAACTTGCTTCTGCACCTTTGTAGAGGATGAACACACACGATCTGCAGTCAGACCTCCCAGCTTCAGATCTCAGCGGGGCCATCTGCTAGCTTTATAATGCTGGGCGGTTTACTCTGCCTTTCTATGCCTCAGTTTTCTCGTCTATGAAGTGGGGATAATAACCTCAGAGGGTTTTTTGTAGGATTAAATGAGTTAATACGTATAAAAAACCCAGAAGCTGGCCATCAGTAATCATCAATAACAACTACTTTTTTTTTTTTTTTTTTTTTTGAGATGGAGTCTCACTCTGTTGCCCAGGTGTGAGTGCAGTGGCGTGATCTTGGCTCACTGCAACCTCCACCTCCGGGGTTCAAGCGATTCTCCTGCCTCAGCCTCCCGAGTAGCTGGGATCGCAGGCACCCATCACCATGCCTGGCTAATTTTTGTATTTTTAGTAGAGACAGGGTTTCACCATGTTGGCCGGCTTGGTCTCAAACTCCTGACCTCAGATGATCCACCCGCCTTGGCCTTCCAAAGTGCAGGAATTACAGGCAGGAGCCACCATGACCGACCACAACTATGTTTATTTCTTATGCACATGTGCAGGTATTTCCGCAGGATGCTTTCCTAAAATTATAAGCCCTGGTACAAGGTACACACTTGATGAATTTTAATAGAGAATGCCAAATACTCTTCAGAAACCTGGGCCAACTTACCCCCACCCCACTGTATACATAGTGACATATCTCAGAACCGAGGAATCAGGAAGTCCATCCCGGGTGACTCTAAGGCTTGGGTTCTTACTTCATTCCTGAACATGTCCAGGTCAAGTTGGTTTGGTGGCTACTGGGAATTACAGACTCTGCTCCCAGCTGACACTCCTGTGAATTTTGGCAGCACCTTACATTTACGACATGCCTTACCTTTTATTGAGCACAGTGGCCCTGTAGGTTAGGCAGGTCAGGGCAGTGATTAATAATTTATGGAAGAAGAAATTATGTCTCACATCAGCAAGAGACCTATGCAAGGTTACTCCAACTGGTAAGTATTAGCTGGGGCAAAAGAAATTGCAGTTTTTGCCATTAAAAGTAATGGCAGGCCGGGCGCAGAGGCTCATGCCTATAATCCCAGCGCTTCAGGAGGCCGAGGCGGGTGGATCATCTGAAGTCAGGAGTTCGAGACCAGCCTGGCCAACATGGTGAAACCCTGTCTCTACTAAAAATACAAAAATTACCTGGGCATGGTGGCGGGTGCCTGTAATCCCAGCTACTTTGGAGGCTGAGGCAGGGGAATTGCTTGAACCCAGGAGGCAGAGGTTACAGTGAGCCAAGATTGCGCCATTGTACTCCACCCTGGGCAACTACAGCGAAACTCCGTCTCCACAAACAAAAAAAAAAAAAAAAAAAAAAAAAGTAATGGCAAAAACCACAATTACTTTTACCCCAACCTAACATGAAGGAGAGGACCAAGAACCCAGGGCTTCTGAAAACCTGGGGTGTATGTTTCCTTGTGGTACCTCGTTGCCTTTCAAAATTCTATTAAAATGAAACATATTTTTTTAAATGGCATATATTCACAATGGAATACACCCTTTACTCCAAGTCAGTAGTGAAAAGCAGGCATTAATGCTATATGATATACTAAAAGGGCACCTCTTAGAAAAACAAAGTTAATTGCAGCCTCTTGATTCAAATGAAATCCACTCTGTTTTAAACTTTCAATTATAGTAAGATAAAGCTGCAGAGAATGTGCTTTCCATCCTAATTTGAGACTTCAGATGGCAGCTCCTTTTGTACTTCTATCTTTAAAAAACTGCCTCCCCCCAGCCCCCAATCTTGTTATCTTCTCTTTGACTTGCCAAACAAATCTAGTTCAAAAAAATAGAACTGATTAAATGCCTAAGGGAAGGAAGTGAAGAGCTTAAAATCAGTCGAGTCTGTTACCACATGTTCGGGTTAATTTAACTTTGCTCACATGACAAATTAGAAAGGAAAAGGAAAATTTGCATACAAGGACAATTAAGAATAAACTAGAGGTGTCATTTGTCCCAAATTAGGACAGGATCCCATAATTTGTTTTTCCACCAGAAGAGTACTTTCTGGCAAGCAGAGACTACGGGGTGCACGCTTTTCTTCTCCGATGTCACGAGCAAGTGGGCGCTTCATCACAAAGGGAGGCTCAGCCCACAGTCAGCTGTGCCTCAGGCCTCCTCTTCAGCAAGCCAGGCTAACCACATGGTAGTGCTTCCATGCCCTAGCTGTTTAGCTTATGAAAAATGTGAACATGCCTAGGGTCTGTGAAAGTTCATCCAGGTCTAGTGGTAGATAGACAATAGGTAGATGGATGACTGATGGAAAGATTCATATGTAGATTAATCCATAGATAGACAGCAAGGGGATTTATTTTATATAACATGGTGGCTCCCAGGCCACCTTCTAGCCTGCCTACCCTGGTAATTTCCACACACTGTCTGTCCTCAAAGCTCTAAGAATACTCTAAAGACCCACTCTGTAAGTATAATAATGGGGATATATTTTTAATGTGCAGGACATAGTATTCAGTAGCCACTTTGTTATTCCAGCTGCCACAGGAAGTTTCTCTCACTCCTTAGCAAAGGATAGATTTATGCAATAGAAATGCCCAGTCTTGAATCATCCAGAGATTCACTTCTTAAAAGGAGCTTTACAGGCTGGTGCGGTAGCTCACACCTGTAATCCCAGCACTGTGGGAGGCCAAGGCGGACAGATCACGAGGTCAGGAGATCAAGACCATCTTGCTAAACATGGTGAAACCCCATCTCTACTAAAAATATTTTTTTAAAAAATTAGCCAGGCATGGTGGCACCCACCTGTAGTCCCAGCTACTCGGGAGGCTGAGGCAGAAGAATCGCTTGAACCTGGAAGGCAGAGGTTGCAGTGAGCGGAGATTGCAGCCTTGTACTCCAGCTTGGGTGATAGAGAGAGAGACTCCGTCTCAAAAAAAAAAAAAAAAAAAGGAGCTTTACAAGAGCTCAAAGGCCAACTAACCCAAAATAGGAACTGCCAAACTTCTTACCCCTCACTGGTGGACCCGAGGGAAACATACAGAGTGGGCTCTGAAGTTTTTGAGCATCTGGTTGTGGTGTCAGTGATGGTATTTTTTGTTTGCTTACTTTCCTGATAAGTAACAGAAATGAGATCTGGTTAATTTAATAAAAACAAAATGCAAGAATTTATCAAAAGGCTATATGATAGCATAGCAAATTCCAGGAAAAGCTAAGCCAACAGTAGGAACCCCAGTAGCTCTGGGAGTCTGGGTAGCAGAAACTAATAATGGGCAGTTACAGCAAAGGACTACCTTTGAGAAAAGTCTTTTCAAAGGATTTTCCTATCAGGTTGCTCCACCTGATTCCTAACTGGGTGAGAGCATCTGATTAGCTCAATGTTAAGCCAAGGCAGGGGATACAGGACGCAGGGACAGAAGCCTGTATACCTGATTCATACTACTGGGGGAGGACATCTGATTAGCAAGGACAGAAGCCTGTATACAGTGGTAAAGAAGGGATTCCCCAAAGACCAGCTGCTATTATATATATATATATTTAAAGGCCAAAGGGATGTGGGCAAGCAAAAGCAGCAGATATCCATCACAGTCTAGTTTCTGCCTGTAACCCAAAGAAAGAGGTGTGTTTTCTCACTTGGAGTTGGGCCCTTCCAAAGGTTTCTAACCCAAAGCATGAAATACCCAGTACTCTATTTCAGGAAACTAAAGATTGTACTCAGGAACAAAATTTCCCCATTCTTGACCTCACATGTCAAGGACAAGCTCACCTAAACCTTCAAAAGAGATAAGGGGTCCAGGGTATAGACAAGTGAACATCCAAGCACAAAGCAGTGTAGCAAGAGCTATGATAGGGAGGTGCAGAGTCCTACGGGAACACACGGCAGGACACCTGGCCTGACCTGGACTCAGAAAGAGTCAAGGAGGAGTTAAGTGAGAAGCTGGCAATCTACAAAGAAATGTCGGATGTCTGAAGGTAGGAAGAGGAGCAGGTGACACACTGGAGGAGGTGAACCTGGTCAGTCAGCCGGGAGCACATGGGGGTGGCAGTAGATTGAGCTATTGGCTCCAGTTCTTCACCACTCCCTGCAGCCTCAACTTTGCTGTGGCCAGGATGAGGAGAGCCTCTCTCCCCATTTACTCTGACTTGGCTGTGAGATCTGGTAGGTGTGTCTCTATGCCAATCCTAAGAGGCATTTTCATAGCTTAGGTCTTAGGTATTAGGCGTTCCATGTGCCTCCATAAGCCACTGCCATGAGGAGAACGTGCCCCAGCTAGCTTGATGGGCGAAGGAGGTTGAGAGACACATGGAGAAGGGCCACAGAAATGCAACTAGAAGTGGAGCCAGACCCAGTCTAGGTCACTCAAACCCCAATCGTGAAGGGCCCTTGTACCCCTGTTAAGTTGAACTTGATTCTAAGGGCAATGGACTCTATTGAGGTGTTTAGGAAGTAACACAACAGATCTGCTTTTTAAAAAGCTCACTCTGATTGGTCCACTAGTGGGGTGGGGAGACAGATTCCCTGAAGTTCACAACCTTACTTTTTCAATGTTTTTGGCTTACAAGCATATCTAATAATATAAGCATGCTTTTATTAATTAATGAAAGAAGAAATTGACATTGTATATTCATTATAAACTCAACTATATGCATAGAAAAAAATAGAACATATATAAATAGAAAAAACATATGTCTAAAGGTTTACAGTGATTATCTCTGGATGGGATTATGGTTATTTTCTATAATTGTATGATTTTCTACAGTGTCACAAGTCTTTTTATTATTCTGAAATAGGCTGAGTGCATTGGCACGTGCCTGTAATCCCAGCATTTTAAGAGTCTGAGGCTGGTGGATTGCTCGAGGCCAGGAGTTCAAGATCAGCCTGGGCAACATGGTGAAACCTCATTGATACGGTTAGGCTTTGTGTCCCTACCCAAATCTCATCTTGAATTGTAATCCCCGGGTGTTTAGGGAGAGACCTGGTGGGAAGTAATTAGATTATAGGGCAGTTTCCCACATGCTGTTCTCCTAATAGTGAACTCTCATGAGATCTGATGGTTTTATAAATGGTAGTTTTTCCTGCACTGACACAGGCATTCTCTCTCACCTGCCACCATGCCTCTTCCCCCACCACCATGATTGTAAGTTTCTTGAGGCCTCTCCAGCCATTCAGAACTGTGAGTCAATTAAACCTCTTTCTTTATAAATTATCCAGTCTCGGGTATGTCTTTATAGCAGTTGAAAATGGACTAATACATTTGTCTCTGCAAAAAATTAGCTGGGTGTGGTGGCTTGCACTTGTGGTCCCAGCTATTTGGGAGGCTGGGGTGGGAGGATTGCTTGAGCCCAGGTGGCAGAAGATGCAGTAAGCTGTGATTATGCCACTCAACTCCAGCCTGGGTGACAGGGTGAGACCTTCCTTGTCTTAAAAAGATAATAATAAAATAAAATAAAACAAAAATAAAACCACAATTTAGTGGGCATTTATTACACTGTATGCTCTCATAAATTATTCTATTTCATTATCACTTCCCTTTTTACAGCTGAGGAAACTGGATTTTAAGAACACTTTATTTTCCCAAGGTCAGCCCACTAATATGTGGCAGAGTCAGAACTTGAAACTTGGTCCATCTGACATGAAAGCCTGAGCCATGATGCTAGTTTTCATCTTTGTTGTTTTGGTTTTTCAGGGCATGCTCAGATGTTAAGTGTAAAGTCTGACAAGTTCTAACAGATGCATATTCTGTAACCCACACCCTGAAAAAAACCTAGAGCATTTCCATGACCCCTAAAGTTCTCTCTTCCCCATCTTTACCCTCAGCCTTCAGCAACTACTGTTGTGGTTTCGCAACTACTGTTGTGACTTCTTTATAAATGGAATTACACAAAACGTATTCTTTGGTTCCATCTTCTTTCATTCCACATCACGTTTCTGAGATCATAGTGTGTGTCTGCTGTTCTTTATTGCTGAGTAGTACTCCATTTCTCTGAATATGCTGAAGTTTGTTTATTCATTCTCCTATTACAGATACTTGGATTATTTCCACTTTGGGACCATTATGAACAAAGCTACAATGCACATCACACATAAGTCTTTGTGCTCAGATATGTATTTTCCTTTCTCTTGGGTAAATACTGAAAATTGGAAATGCTGGGTCACAGAGTATATGCATAGTTAATTTTATAAGAAACTAACTGTGGCATCATAAAAAAATACTATGTTTGGTTTCTACCCCCAGGTTTCTGACACAGAGCTCCTAAAACTCTTGGAATTTTCTGAAAGATAGGAGTGCTAGGAGCATCTTTAAAAAAAAAAATTGGTCTTTAACACTGGTTCCCAACACAGATCTGCTAATTCCCTTGGAATTTCCTGAGTGATAGGAGCATCTCTTGTTCTAACGAGGTGACTCTTGGTGGGGCTCCTGGATAGCTTCAGAATGAGGACTGGTCACCAGAAACACACCAAGCCATGATAAGAGGCTTGGAACTTTCAGGTCCATCCCCCGTCCTCCTTGGATGGTAGGGAGGATAAAATTGAGTTAATAATTGGTCATGCCTACATGAAGCCTCTATAAAAAACCCTAAAAGATGGAGTACAAAATCTCCAGGTTGGTAAACATATCCACGTGCCAGGAGGGTGGCACACCTCTGCTTTATGGGGACAAAAGCTCCTATTCTCAGGCCCCTTCTGGACCCAGTTCTACGCATCTCTTCATCTGGCTGTTCATTCATTCCAGATATCCTTTATCCGGATATCCTTTATAATAAGCCAATAAATGTAAATAAGCATTTCCCTGAGTTCTGTGAGTCCTAAAAAAATTTTGAGTCGGAATCTGAGGAGGAGATTGGGTTGTGTGAACCTCTCCTTTGTACAGCAAGTTGATCAGAAGTACAGGTGACAACCTGAGACTTGCAATTGGCAACTGAAGTGGAGGCAGTCTTGTTGGACTGAGCCCTTAATCTGTGGAGCATGATGCCAGCCCTAAATAGATAATGCCACAATTTAAGTGAATTGTGGGACACTCAGGGGGTGTTTGGAGACGTAAAGAATTTTTTGTTGATGTGGAGAAAGCCCACACATTTGATGTCAGAAGTGAAGTGTTGGGAGAGTATAGAAAAATATTGATTTTTCCTCTTTTAATAACAGATTTCCAAAGTGTGTTCACCATTTTACGCACTTACCAGAAATGAGAGTTCCACTTATGCCACAACTTTACCAATACTAGGTATTGTCAAACTTTTTAATTGTAGTCATTCTGGTGGTGGTATAATGGTACCGCATTATGGTTTTAATTTACTTTTAATTGACTACTAATGATGTTGAGACCTTTTTCATGTGCTTACTGGCTATTTCTATATCTTTGTTTGAGAAGTGGCTGTGCAAGTCTTTTGGCCATTATTCATATTTGATTGTCTTCTTAATGAGTTGTAAAATTTCTTAATATATTTTGAATTCTCAGAATGTATATGCAAATGTTTTCTTTCAATCTTACTGATTTTTTAAAAAATATCTTCAAAGAGCAAAAGTTTTTATTTTTATAAGACCCCATTTATTAATTATTTTCTTTTATGGCTAGTGTCTTGTGTGCATGCGTGTGTGTGTGTGTGTGTGTGTGTGTGTGTTTGAGACAGAGTCTCACTTTGTCACCCAGGCTGGAGTGCAGTGGCGCAATTTCAGCTCACCGAAACCTCCACCTCCTGGGTTCAAGCGATTCTCCTGCCTCAGCCTCCCAAGTATCTGGAACTACAGGCGTGCACCACGCCCGGCTAATTTTTATATTTTTAGTAGTGACAGGGTTTCGCCACATCGGCCAGGCTTGTGTCGAACTCCTGACCTCGTGATCTGCCTGCCTCAGCCTCCCAAAGTGCTGGGATTACAGGAATGAGCCACCGTGCCTGGCCTTTCTGTGTATTTTCTAAGAAATTGTTGTCTATCTCAAATTAGGAATGACATTTTTGTATGTTTCTTCTGGAAGTTGTACAGTTTTAGCGTTTTAATTTAGGTCTATGATCTATATTGAACTAATATTTGGATATGGTATAAGGTGGAATCAAGAGTCTTTTTTTTCCCCACATGGCTATCCAGTTATTCCGGCACCTTAATTTTGTTTTTCCTTTCACCACTGAATTGCCTTAGCTCTCAAATTAAAACTCCACATATATAAACTTATTTCTGGATTTAGTCATCTGTTTCATTGATCAATTTATCTGCTTTTGCACCAATACCATGCTCTCTTGATTACTGTAGCTTTCTATTGAGGACGCTGAGGCAGGAAAATCGCTTGAACCTAGGAGGCAGAGGTTGCAGTGAGCTGAGATCGCACCACTGCACTACAGCCTGGGGGACACAGCACAACCCTGTCTCAAAAAACAAAACAAAACAAAACAAAACAAAAAAAAGGAAAGATTTGGAATCAGGTGGTTTATAAGTCATCTAACTAGGTACTTTTTCAAGATTACGCGACTATTCTAGGACTGCACACTTCTATATTAATCTTAGAATCAGCAGAAAAAAAGGGTCTGCTCTATGATAACTGTGATGTTCCTATAGAGTAATTTGGGGAGAACTGACATGTTAATAATGTTGAATCTTTCCACCCTTGAACATGAAATATCTATTTATGAAGGTCTTTAATATTTCTCAGCAGTTTTGCACTTATTAACATGGAGACCTTAAATATCTTTCATTAACTTTGTCCCTAAGTATTTTATTTTGGGGATGCTATGGTAAATGATATTGAGTCTTTGATTTCATTTTCCAACTGTTTGTTGCTCTGTCATATAAATGCAATTGATTTTTGCATACTGACCTAATATCGTGCAAACTTTCTAAAGTTAAATCTTACATAACTAGGATACACTCTATTTGGTAATGATGAATTATTTCTTTCTAAAATATTCAATTTGTCTAGTATTAAATTAAGAAATGTTGTATCTAGGCCAGGAGGGATATTGGTCTATAATTCTTTTCTTGTAATATCCTTAGTATTTAAGGTTATGTACACCTTATAAGTCAGAAAGTGTTCCCTCTCCACTATTTTCTGAAAAAGTTTGTGTGATATTGGCATTATTTCTTCCTTAAATGTTTGATAGAATTTATCAGTGAAGTCATGTGGCCCTGAATTTTTCCTGTGGCAAGGCTTTTAATTATAAATTTAAGTTTTTAAACAGATATAGAGTTATTCATATTTTATGCTTGATATTTTGTGAGCTTCATAATTTGCATCTTTTAAAGAATTTGTCAGTTTTATCTAAATATTGTAATTTATTGATATGAGATTGTTAAGAAATAGTCTTTTGTCTTTTAATAACTGTAGAAACCTGCAGTGGTCTCTCATATTTCATTCTTGATATTTGTAATTTGTGTTCTCTTTTTTTCTTGATCAGTGTAGCTAGAGGTCTATCAGTTTTATTACTCCTTTCAAAGAATGAACTTTGGTTTTGTTGACTTCCTAATCTACTTTTTATTTCACTGATTTACACTCTTTATTCTTTCCTTGTATGTACTGAAGGTATAATTTCTGTTTCCTAGATTCTTAAGATGAAGACTTAGATCATTGATTTTAAGCCTTCTTTTCTTTTTAAAATTTTCCCCCAGCTTAAATAAGGTATAATTGATAAATAAAAATTGTATATATTTATGGTGTACAATGTGATCTGTTGATTCATGTACACATTGAGAAGTGATTAATTCAAGATAATTAACAGCCATCATCTCATATACTTATTTTTTTGTAGTGAGAACATTTAAGATCTATTCTTTTAGCAACTTTCAAGTATACAGTACCTGATTATAAACTATGGCTACTACTCTAGAATAAGATCTCCAAAACTTATTCATCCTGTCTCACTGAAACTTTGTACTCTTTGACCAACATTTTGGCATCCCAAGCACCATTCCCTCCAGCCCCTGGTAACTACCATTCTACTCTGCTTCTATGAGTTCAACTTTTTCAGATATCACAAATAAGTGAGATCATGGAGTAGTTGTCTTTCTGTGTCTGGCTTATTTCACTTAGCATTATATCCTCCAGATTTACCCATGGTGTCATAAATGACAGGATTTTCTTTTTAAAAGCTGAATAGTATTCGATTGTGTGTGCATACACACATATACACCATATTTATTTTATCCATCAATAAACACTTTGGCTGTATCTTGGCTACTGTGAATAATGCTGCAACGGGCATGGGTGCGGTTTTTTTTGTTTTTTGTTTGTTTGTTTTTGTTTTTGAGACAGAGTCTCGCTCTGTTACCCAGACTGGAGTGCAGTGGCGTGTCTCTGCTCACTGCAAGCTCCACCTCCTGGGTTCACGCCATTCTCCTGCCTCAGCTTCCCAAGTAGCTGGGACTACAGGCACCCGCCACCACACATGGGTAATTTTTTGTATATTTAGTAGAGACGGGGTTTCACCACGTTAGCCAGGATGGTCTCGATCTCCTGACTTCGTCATCCACTCACCTCGGCCTCCCAAAGTGCTGGGATTACAGGCATGAGCCACCGCGCCCAGCCGGGTGCAGTTATCTTTTTATATCTCTCCATATCTCTATTCCTTTGGATATATAACCAAAAGTGAGATTGCTGGATCATATGATGGTTCTATTTTGAATGTTTTGGAAAAGCTCCATACTGTTTTTCTTAATGGCTGTGCTAATGCCCACCACAGCTTAATGGCTGTGCTAATGCCCACCAATAGTGTGCAAGGGTTCCTTCTTCTCCACATCCTTGCCAACACTTGTTATCTTTTGTCTTTTGTGTGTGTGTGTGTGTGTGCGTGTGTGTGTGTGTGTGTGAGATGGAGTCTCGCTCTGTCACCCAGGCTGGAGTGCAGTGGCACGATCTCGGCTCACTGCAACATCTGCCTCTCAGGTTCAAGCGATTCTTCTGCCTCAGCCTCCTGAGTAGCTGGGATTACAGGCATGCACCCCCACACCCAGCTAATTTTTGTATTTTTAGTAGAGACAGGGTTTCACCGTGTTGGCCAGGCTGATCTCAAACTCCCGATCTCAGGTGATCCACCCTCCTCGGCCTCCTAAAGTGCTGTGATTACAGGGTGAGCCATCACACCTGGCCTTCTTTTGTCTTTTTGATAATAGCCATTCTCACAGGTGTGAGGTGATATCTCATTGTGGTTTTAATTTGCATTTCTCTGATGATTGTTGATATTGAACATTTTTTCATGTACCTGTTGACCATTTGTCTGCCTTTTTTTGAACAATATCTATTCAAGTCCTTTGCCCATTTTTGAATCTGGTTATTTGTTTTCTTGTTATTGAGCTTTTTGAGTTCCTTTTATATTTTGGGTATTAACCCCTTAAAGGCTGTATGGTTTGCAAAATGCTTTCTTGCATTCCACCGATTATCTCCTTGCTTTGTCAATTGTTTCCTTTGCTGTGCAGAAGCTTTTCAGTTTGATATAATCACATTTGTCCATTTTTACTTTTGTTGCCTGTGCTTTTCAGGACATATCCAAAAAAATGTTGCCTAGACCAATGTCAAGAAGTTTTTTCCGTTTTCTCCTAAGAGATTTGCAATTTGGAGTCTTATGTTTAAGTCTTTAATCCATTTGTATTGATTTTTTGTCTATGGTGTGAGATAAGGGTTCAATTTCATTCTTTTGTTTATGGATATCCAGTCAACACCATTTATTGAAGAGACTGTCCTTTCTCCATTGTGTGTTCTTGGCACCTTTGATGGAAATCAGTTGACCACAAATGCATGGATTTACTTCTGTAAGCCTTCTTTTCTCTGATATAAACATTTAAGACCATAATTTTACTCCAAATGCTTCATTAACCGAATCTCACAAATTTGGATATGCTATGGTTTTATCAGGACAAAAGATTTTAAAACTTTTCTTGTGATTTGATTCATGGGTTATTTTGCAATGTGGTTTAATTTCAAAATATTTGGATTTGCCAAAGTTTTTTTATCTTGATTTTTATTTTAATTCTGTTGTTATTAAAGAATATATTCTTGGCTGGGTGCGGTGGCTCACGCTGGTAATCCCAGCACTTTGGGAGGCTGACGCAGGTGGATTATGAGGTCAGGAGTTTAAGACCAGCCTGGCCAGGATGGTGAAACCCCATCTCTACTAAAAATACAAAAAAATTATCCAGGCATGGTGGTGGGCACCTGTAATCCCAGCTACTTGGGAGGCTGAGGCAGAGAATTGCTTGAACCCGGGAGGCAGAGGTTGCAGTGAGCCGAGATGGTGCCACTGCACTCCAGCCTGGGTGACAGTGCGAGACTCCATCTCAAAAAAAAAAAAAAAAAAAAAAAAAAAAGGATATATTTTTTATTATTTCCGTCCTTTGAAATATACTGAGACACATTTGATGGCCCAATTTATGGTCTATTTTGGTGAATAAAGTACATACATGTAAACATAAAAAATAAAGTACATAAACATAAATGTACACGGGAACATAATGTGTATTCTGTAATTGTTCAGTAATGTTTGATAAAATGCCAATTAGGAGGCCAGGTGTGGTGGTTCACGCCTGTAATCCTAGCAGTTTGGGAGGCTATGGTGGGCAGATAACCTGAGCTCAGGAATTCGAGACCAGCCTGGGCAACATGGCAAAACCCCATCTCTACTGAAAATACAAAAAAATTAGCTGGGCTGGTGGTGCACTCTTATAGTCCCAGCTACTCGGGAGGCTGAGGCAGGAGAATCACTTGAACCCAGGAGGCGGAGGTTGCAGTAAGCTGAGATCGCACCACTGCAGTCCAGCCTGGGTGACAGAGCAAGACTCTGTCTCCAAAAAACAAAAACAAAAAAAGGTCAATTAGGTTCTGTTTGTTTAGAGTTATGCACATCCTCTACATGTTTTCTGATTTTTGTTTGTATGTTGTATCAGTTACTGAGAGAGGAGAGTAAATCTCTTCAACACTTATTATTAATTTGTCTATTTCTCCTTTCAATTCTATCAGTTTTGCATTCATATACATTGAAGTTTGTTAGCGAGTGTTCAGGAATTGCATGTCTTCTCAATGAATTGATTCTTTTCTTATTATGTAATGTCACTCTCTATCCCTGGTAATTCTCCTTGTCTTTGTCTGATAGCAATATAGCCACTCCTGTGTTTTTACAATTAGTCAACACATGGTTCTCTTTTCTATTCTCTTTTAAGTTGTATGTATCTTCATATTTAAAGCATGTGCTTATAAACATCATATAGTTCAATCTCACTTTTTAAAATCTAGTCTAGCTCTCTTGCTCTTTTCATTGGAAGGTTTAGTCAAGCTAGATAGAATATAATCAGTAATTTGATTGGGTTTGATTCTACCATCTTGCTATTTGTTTTCTCTTTGTCCCCTTGTCCTTTGTTTCTTATTTTCCTCTTCCTGTCTTCTTTTGGATCAGTTGGGTGTTTTCTAGTATTTCATTCTATCTTCTCTATTAGCTTTTTAGCTATGCCTCTTTGTTTTAACTTTTAGTGGGTGCTTTGGGGATTAAAATAAACGTAATTTATCACTGTCTACCTTGAATTAACTTTATGCCACTTCACATAAATGTAAGAACTTTACAACAATATACTTTCATTTACCCACCCTCATCTTTTGTGCAATTGTCATACATTTTGCTTCTACACAGATTATACACCTCACAATACTTTGCTACTATTTTTGGTTTAAGCACTCAAATGTTTTTTTAAAGAAACTAAGAAATAAGAAAAAATGTCTTTTATATTTATGCCCCACATATTTTCCATTTCTGGTAGTCTTTTTAATGCAGATCTAATATCATCCGGAATCATTTTCTTTCTGCCTGAGGACTTCCGTTAACATTTCTTGAAATGCATGTATGTTAATGATTCATCCAGCTTTTGCTTCTCTGGAAATGCCTTTATTCTACTTTTTAAGACTACCTTTTTCCTGGATATAGATTTATGGGTTGACTGGGGTTTTTTATTATAGTTTTGTTTGTTTTTTATTTAATCACTTCAAAGATGCTGCCAATTATCCTCTGACTAGTTTTATGTCTGATAAAAAAAAATAGGAATACTTCTCATTATTCCTTTTTTTGTAACCTGTCTTTTTTCCCTGGCTACTTTTTAAATGTTCTTTATCTTCAGTTTTTAGCAATTTGATTATGATATGCCTAGGTGTGGCTTTCTTTGTGCTTCTCTTAAATAAGTTTTATTGAATTTCTTGGATTTGTATGTTGACATTTTTTCATCAAATTTTGGGGAAAGTGGCCATTACTTCAACTTCTTTTCCTGTCTCATTTTTTTCTCTCTTCTTTTGGGACTCCACTTACACATGTATTATACTGCTTGATGTTTTCCGACAGATCACCGAGTCTTTATACTTTTTAATGCTTTTTTTCTCAGTGCAGTTTAGATAATTTCTGTTGACCTGTTTTCAAGCTCACTGATGTTTTCTTATGCATTATTCAATCTAATGTTAAGCATTAGATACGGTGAATTTTTTATTTCATGAAGTATGCTTTCTAGTACTGTAATTTCCACTTGTCTCTTTTTAAGGTTTCTCTTTCTCCATTGAGATTTCTTTATTAATGTGTCCATCCTTCCTTTTAATTCTTGAACTTATTTCTACTAGCTGTTTTAAAGTCTTTGTCTGCTACTGTCAATAACTGTGGCATCTCTAGTCCCATTTCTACTGACTTTATTCGCTGGGTTGTGGGTCACGTTTTCTTACCACTTTGTATGTCTAGTAATTTTTTTATTGAATGCTGGGCCTTATGAATGCTACAATGTTGAGTTTGGATTATGTTGTTTTCCTTTAGGGTGTTGAGTATTGCTAAGGCAAGCATTTAATTTATTTGTGGTTTAGCTTGATCCTGCTGAGGCTTGTTTCTAAGCTTTGTTAAAGTAGGCCAGGAATAGCCCATAGGCTAGGGCTAGAGCAGTCCTGTTTCTAAGGATTGGCCTTTCTGGGATCTCAACTGAATGCCCAGAGTGTTCAGTGATAGAGCTGAACTATGATTGGCCAGAAATCCAATGTCTGTCATTGCTGTGTAACCTCAAGAATCTCCAGCCAGCGCACAGACCCTCAGTAGGTACCCTCTGCTAGGCTATGCAGGGTCCTGTTGCACATGTGCAGCTTTGTATTTGACCAAAGACTGAAGGGGACCCATAGGCAGATTTCTAGGGCATCTTCCCTGTTTGGCTCTTTCTTCTTTGATATCCTTCTATTGAAATTCCAGCCACTGGCTGGGCATGGTGGCTCACACCTGTAATCCCAGCCCTTTGGGAGGCCGAGGCGGGCAGATCACAATGTCAGGAGATCAAGACCATCCTAGCCAACATGTTGAAACCCCATATCTACTAAAAAATACAAAAATTAGCTGGGCATGGTGGCGGGCGCCTGTAATCCCAGCTACTCAGGAGGCTGAGGCAGGAGAATCGCTTGAACCAGGGAGTCAGAGGTTGCAGTGAGCCGAGATCACGCCACTGCACTCCAGCCTGGGTGACAGAGTGAGACTCCATCTCAAAAAAAGAAAAAAGAAATTCCAGCCACTTCCACAGCCTGAAGTCTGAACTCTGCTGACTCCACCCAGTGAAACTAGTGCTGTCTTGTGGGATTTAATTCCTTGTGCTGCCACTTAGAAAGTGTCCCTGGCAGAAAGCTAAATTGAATGTGGAGCTTAGCACATGTGTTTCCTTTGCTCAAGATTTACTGGCCAGGTTTTGGTAAACCTTTACAAGCACTGAGCAAAACTCTTGGCAAATATTAGTTGCTTAGTAAGGTGTTTTTTTAAGGAGGAAGGTGTGATGAATTTAGTTCACTTCTGGAAATACCCACAAGGCTATTCAAATGGCCTGTCCAGAGAATCAATCTCCATTTTCCCCATCCACTCTCAGCTTCCCCTCAGGAGTAACAAACTTTCTCCCCTCTTCAGAAGCTGACAAGCAGTTTTCTGTGCATTTGGGTTACTCAGTTTGTAAAGCTTTGAGCATTTAGATAATGACCAGAATTACATTCATCCACTGTTAAGATACACCCTGTTCTCTGGGGGATTTGATATACTTTTTCCAAATCAGCTAAATGCTCTCTGGAAGAATTATTGGCGGGGAGGAGAGGCTAAACAACTTAGCATAAATCATCATTCAGAATGTGTCCTTGAAGCCCTGCATATAGTTTCTCGTGTTACCAAGAAAAGAACTTCTGAGTCTGTTTAAAGAAAGCAGCAGCAGCCAGCTCCAGTGTCCTCTTCAAGGAGAACGCTCCAGGTTTAGGAAGTTCTTGGGTGAAAGAAATCCCCAACAAGGCCTCTTGGCTCCTTGTATTCACCTCAAACACCCAGCTCGGCCTTATCTTCCCAGGGCACATTTTCTGGACCAGTGAACCAAATAAAGACAGGCCATTTTCTTTTGTTTGCATCTTGACTGGGAAGACCAGGTCTCCAAAGGAAGGATTATTTCAAGCTTGCTTTGGAGATTGTTTGAATTTTTCACACTTTATCCTTATCTACTGCCTGTCTCCCGACTCCAATCACCCTGCAAGCTAAACACGCCATATATATTCAACACCATCTTCTCTCCTGTGAAAGACGTGTCATTTGGCTTTGTGGCCCAATGACCACATTCTTGCCTTGGAGACACTTGATGGGTAATTTGAGTTCAGAATCCCTATAGTTCGGCCAGTAGATCTAACCCTTCAACTAAGATTTCCTCTTCATCAACAAGCACTAACTTTCCCCATGCCTACGTTTTGATTCAAAAGTACAAGACGAACAAAGGATTGAAAAGATTAAATGTGTGAGAGTTTTAATTTTCCTCTGGGGGAAAAAAGACAGCAAGTTATGATTTTCTTCTAAGCAAACAAACCATTTTCCATATGCCTCTAAGAGAAAACTGCTTTTCTATTATTCTGCACATTCCACAAATAAGTCCAGTGGGGAGGAGGGTGCCTAGGAAGCAGCACATTTTCTTATGTTGTAGAAAAAATGTGTTTTCCAACTCATAGTCTCTAAGCTCTAGTAAAATAATTAGGTTCGAGGAGCAACTCTGCTTTTGAAAGGCAGCCAGGGAGCATGGAAGAGCCAGGGCTTACTTTCTGAATGCTGTGAGGGCCTCTGGGTGGGGGCCTAGTGAGACCTGACCTCATGGCCTGAGGCATCTGATGCACCATGCACCTGCCCCCATGGTAGGACACTTGCCCCTCACCACGAGATGGGTCTGGGAGGCTGTGCACCCTACAGAAAGATTGTCCAGAAATACCTTCTGCAGTGTTACCTTCTGGATTCTAGCTCTTGGGGCATATATAACCCCCATTCTCAAACCTTAGAGGAGAACCTGGGGTGGCCCTTCACATCCTTGCTAGAACTTCAAAGACTTTGGTACCTGGCCTTGTCATTCCCCTACTTCAGTCGCCCCCAATCTTTTTGGCACCAGGGACCGGTTTCATGGAAGCCAGTTTTTCCACGAATGGTGGGGGGATGGTTTTGGGATGAAACTGTTCCACCACAAATCATCAGACATTAGATTCTCATAGAGAGCACACAACCTAGATCCCTCAAATGCGCAGTTTGCAATAGGGTTGACGCTCCTATAAGAATCTGTCAGATCAGCCACAGCATTAGTAGGTGGAGCTCAGGCAATAATGCTCACTCCCCTGCCACTCACCTCCTGCTGTACCAGTACCGGTCCATGGCCCTGGGGTTGGGGACCCCTGCCTTACTTCATTACCTTCAATAGTTCCCCATTGTTTTTATGATGAAATTTCTATTCCTCAGATTTTCTCACAAGTTTTTGTTTGTTTTTTGTTTTGAAACAGGGTCTCACTATGTCACCCGGCTGGAATACAATGGCACAAATACAGCTCATGGCAGCCTTGACTCCTGAGCTCAAGCAATCTTCCCGTCTCACAATGCCTGGCTAATTTTTTATTTTATTTTTTTAGAGATGGTGTCTGGCTATGGTGCCCAGGCTGGTCTTGAAATCCTGGGCTCAAGTATTCCTTCTGCCTCAGCCTCCCAGTGTGCTGGGATTACAGGGATGAGCCACTGTGCCCTGCTGGTAAGTTCTTAATAACCTGATCCTGCTGTATCTTTCCCTTATCTTTCACTCCTCCCTCTGCAATCCTCCCTCCACTCTCCTAACCCCACCCTCCGCCAACCCCTGCTTCTCTCCTCCAGCATATGGAAGTCTTTGCAGCCCCTTGGATGCACTGGACTCTCTTTCAGTTTGGAATGCTGTACCTGGAGGGTGGGAACAACATGCCCTTGCTCCACCCTGCTAACTCCAATTCTCACCTCAAATCTCAACACAGGAGTGCTTCCTCCAGGAAAGCCTCCTTCAAGGCTGAGTTGGGCATCCCTCCTGCTTGCTGCCATAGTTCACTGTGCTTACCTCATCACAGTTATTCATTCACAAGTATTTACTGAGTGTTCCCATATAGCAGCCACTGGGCTAGGTCCTAGGAATACAGTGGGAAGAAACACTAATAAATAAGTAAAACAAACAAATACCTGATAAAATCCTATTCGTGATAATTTCTGGGAAAGAAAAGGATATACATGGAAAATAGGGGGTGAGGTAAAGACCACCTTATCCTATTTTATTCTTATGTTCTCTTTATTACTCTTTCCACTAGACAGCAGGTACCCCAAGAACAGAGATTTGTGTTACTCTTCGCTTTACTTCTAATGCCCAAGTAGGATGCAGCATAATGAAGGCATTCAATAAGAGCTTGTGGTATGAGCCATAACGATTTTCTCTTCCTTCCATTTCCGGGCCTGTTTTCAACATTGTTGGAAACTGGAAATTTCAAATCTCTTTCCAGGAAGGGTCAACTGGACAGAGAAAAAAGGACATTGAACGAAGACACTCTGAATTCAAAGGACAGAGAACAAAGACCCTGGCTTATTTGGAAATCAACCTCCTTCCCTAATCTGCCATGTATTTGATATCTATCGTTATTGGTATTTTAAATATAAGGACGTTTTAAATATGACCTCAAATTCTTTGACAATGCTTCCTCTTGAATGTGGGCTGGTCCTAATGACTAGCTTCCAATGAGTAGAAATTGCAGAAATGATGTGTTAATTTTGAGGCTACATCATAAAAGACAAAGATAATGCAGCTTCCATCTCCGTCCCTCTTCCATCTTGCTCTGTAGGAAGCCAGCTTCCATTTTGTAAGGACATTCCAATAGCCTAAGAAGCAATGCCCATGGTTAGGAACCGAAATCTCCTGCCAAATGACAAATGAGTGACCATCTCAGGAACAGCTCCCTTACCCCACCAAGCCTTCAGAGAGGACTGCAGCTCCAGCCAAAACCTTAGTTGCAACCACATGAGAGAGCCTGAGTCAGCCATTCAACTGAAGTGTTCCCAGACTCCTGACCCACAGAAATCCACAGATAATAAAAGTTTGGTTTCAACCACTATGTTTTGGGGTAATCTATTATGTAGCAGTAGATAATTAATATAATTTGTCTGCACACTGGAACTTATGTCGTAAAAGAAGGGAGTTAGCTGGGCCTTCTCTGCAAGAAAAGCCTCTCTCCATTCCAGACAAAAAAGGGGAACTTGTCTGAAAAATCAGAAGGGTAGTGGGATGGACTATTAGTGTCCCCCTAAAACTCATAAGTTAAAATCGAATTTGCAATGTGATGGTATTTGGAGGTGGGTCCTTTGGAAGGTAATTAGGTCATAAGGGTGGAACCCTCATGAATGGGATGAGTGACCTTGTAAAGGGAACCCCAGAGAACTTTCTTGCCCTCCCTCTTTCTGCCATGTGGAGATACAAGGAGAAGTGGACACTCTGCAACCAGGAAGAAGACCCTCACTAGAACTGACCATACTGGAGCCCAGAGCTTGGACTTGCAGCCTCTGGAACCACAAGAAATAAATTTTTGTTGTTTATAAACCACCCAGTTTACAGCTGATATAGTTTGCATGTTTGTCCCTTCCAAATCTCATGCTGAAATGTGACCTCCAATGTGGAAGGTGGGTCCAGTGGGAGGTATTTGAGTCATGGGCGTGGATCCCTCATGAATATCTTGATGCCCTCCCCACAATAATAAGTTCACATGCGATCTTTCTGGTTGTTTAAAAAAAAAAAAAAAACAAGAGAGAGATGGGGACCTCCTCTCTCTCTCTCGCCATGTGATACGCCTGCTCCCCCTTTGCCTTTCATCATGATTGTAAGCTTTCTGAGGCCTTACCAGGAGCCAAGCAGATGTGGGTGCCATGCTTGTATAGCCTGCAGAATCGTGAGCCAAATAAGCCTCTTTCCTTTATAAATTACCCAGTCTCAGGTATTCCTCTATAGGAATGCAAAATGGACTAACACAATGGCACTTTGTTATAGCAGCCTGAATCAAGACAGGTAGTTGCTTTTCCAGCTGTAAAGAGACTGGGCCTATCTTGGATTCTCAGGTTTCCAGCCTTCTCCATAACATCCCCTATGACCCCAAAGGAGTTGTGAATGTAAGTAGGCATATAATTAAAAATTCATGCATCTTGAAAACTTTCAATGTGTTGGCACTGTTCTAAAGAGCTTTGCATATATTAACTCGTTTAAGCCTCACAACTACCCCGTGAGATACTATGATTGTCCCTGCTTTACAAATGAAGAAACTGAGGCACTGAGGAGAAGTAACTTGCCAAAGCAAGCTTTTAATATTGGAGAAAAGACCCTAACAAAAAAGAAGGCTTACTATGTGACAATCATTTTAACAAACACTTTCATAGCATTTTTCTTAATCCACAACACAAACCTGCAAGAAATAGGTCAAAGGCCTATTTTAACGATAAAAAATGAGGCCCTTGAAGGGTAAGTGACTTGCCCATTGTCATACGGGACGTGGCAGGTGTGGGTTCAAAGTCTAGGTCTGTTGCTTTCAAAGCCTTCTTTCCTCAACACCCAGCTGCCTCCCTGCTCCCCTACCCTCTCTCTGCTCTCAGCTTCAGATGTGTGCTTGGCAGATCCAGAAAAATCCCTCGGGTGCTGGCCAGCTGCCTAAATGAGGAATGAGGTGACAGCCCTGAATTTACACATGCCCAGGCACCTCCAGGCAGCTGTTACCTGCACCCAAGTCTATGCTGATGTGCTTTACCACAAGCCTTGGGTCAGAGATGAGTGAGAAAAGTGGGCAGAAAAGGAGCAGGATAAATGGGCTGCAGTAAGCCCAGCTGTTTTGGCTTCAAGGCAAGAGTTCAGTAAATCCAGAAACACCTGTGCCTGTGACATTCCTGCGGTCGAAGCTGCCTCAGGGCTTGGCTCTGCTTCCCGGGATGAGGCAAGAGTTCAGAGGAGATGGACAGAAAAAACTCTCCTGACTGTCAGGAGAAGGGAAGAGCCCCATCTATGAAGTCAGACGGGCTAGCCTAGGAGAAATTCATACTGTGTATCCATCCACATACCTGTGTTATCTGTGAGTAGAAAACCTGCTTCCCTGCACATAACACGCACTCACTTGTCCATGTTAACTCCCTCGCCTCTCCACTCTCCTGTCCTCATCTCCAGAGTTTGAGGTACCCCTTGACTTAACATGGAAGTCAGCAGGCCATCCTCATGAGCTAGAAATTGTTAGCTCTCCTTGCATTTCTCTAAGGCAATGGTCTGAGACCTCTTTTGGGTACTTGGGATGATTGCATTTTGCTGTAATACAGGGGAAAGAAGAGAGCTGTGGGAGTCAAATTTTGGGGGCTTAAAGATCACCTGGAGTGTGTGTTAGAAACACAGACTCCAGTTTCATTCCAGTAATTCTTATTCATTGGGTGCCCCTATGAATGGGCTTTTTTTTTTTTTTTTTTTTTTTTTGACAGAGTCTTGCTCTGTCACCCAGGCTGGAGTGCAGTGGCACAATCTCAGCTCACTGCAAGCTCTGCCTCCCAGGTTGACGCTGTTCTCCTGCCTCAGCCTCCCGAGTAGCTGGGACTACAGGTGCCCACCACCACGCCCAGTTAATTTTTTCTTGTATTTTTAGTAGAGACGGGGTTTCACCGTGTTAGCCAGGATGGTCTCGATCTGACCTCATGATCTGCTCGCCTCGGACTCCCAAAGTTCTGGGATTACAGGCGTGAACCACCATGCCTCGCTGAATGGGTATTTCCAAGCCACCATCTGGCCACACTTAGAGAAGCTCTGGATTAAGAAGAGTTTCAGGCATTCAAGAAAAGCATCCCATATTCATCCTCTTTGACAAATTATTAGATCCTGGTTACCTTTAACCAGTTTAACGTAAAATTTCAGATTATGTCTTCATAAGAATTTATAACAAATTTTTAAATTTCAGATTCCATTGAAAAGCTGATGAACATCTAAAAAGAGAGAAGGTAGGGCTTATCTCCAAAATCAAAATGGTAGTTGCTTTTTTATCCTTGGGAGACTAGACTTGTCTTTAGGGTTCTTCAGTCCCTTCCAGAAGCCAGTTTTGTTTTTCCGTGTTTGTGTCTGTGGTAGACAGAATTTTGGCCCCCATTAAGCTGTGAAGTGTGTGGTAAGTTGTTATATAGCACTAGAAAACTAACAAAATCTAAATGTTTTCATTTAAAAAAATATTTTGGGGCTGGGTGCGGTGGCTCATGCCTGTAATCCCAACACTTTGGAAGGGCAAGGTGGGCGGATCATGTGAGGCCAGGAATTCAAGACCAGCCTGGCCAACATGGCGAAACTCCATCTCTACTAAAGATACAAAAAAATTAGCCAGACATGGTGGCACGTGCCTGTAGTCCTAGCTACTCTCGAGGCTGAGGCAGGATAATTTCTTGAACCTGGGAGGCAGAGGTTGCAGTGAGCTGAGATTGTGCCACTGCATGCCAGCCTGGGCAACAGGGTGAGACTCTATCTCAAAATATAAAATAAAATAAACATTTTGGTCTAGAATTTTGTTTTCTGTTTTGGTTCAGTTTGGTTTTTGGTATTCTTAGACTTGAATTCATTGCTGGATGATTCTCTATGTAGAAGTTCCCTGCCTCTCTTTGAAGACCACATCAGATGCCACTTCCTACAGGAAGCTTTCCCCAAGTAAGTCATTTGTTGTCATTAGCCTAATGGTCTTTGCTGGAAAAGTCCCCATTTGTTGGTGAGTGAGAAATGGGGGATGTGATACCATTTGGATATGTGTCCCCACCCAAATCTCATGTTGAGTTGTACTCCCTAGTGTTGGAGGTTGGGCTTAGGGGAAGGTGATTGGTCATGGGAGTGGATTTCTCATGAATGGTTTGGCACCATCCCTTGATGCTGTGCTTGTGATAGTTAGGGGGTTCTTGCAAGATCTGGTTGTTTAAAAGTATGTGGCACCTCCCCGCCTCTTGCTTCTGCTTTCGCCATATGACATACCTGCACCCCCTTCACCTTCTGTCATGATTGGAAGCTTCCTGAGGCCTCCCCAGAAGCAGATGCCACTATGCTTCCTGTACAGCCTGCAGAATCATGAGCCAATTAAACCTCTTTTCTTTATAAATTACCCAGTCTCGGGTATTTCTTTATAGCAATGCAAGAATTGGCCTAATACAGGGTGATAAAGGATTGAATGTATATATGAGGAGGGGGGGATGTTTGGGAGCCAGACAGAAAGATAAGTTCATTCATTCATTCGAGAAATATTGATCAAGCATCTATTATGTTTCTTCTAGGTGCTAAAGATACTCTGGTGAATATGACAGACAAAGTTTCCCTCTGTCTACATTGTAGAGGAGGCAAGCAGATAATACAGAAGTCAACAAATAAATAAAGAAAATTCTCCAGACAGCAATAAGTCCTACAGGGGGCAAACTTCCAGTAATACGTGAGAAACAGAAAAAGGAAGCCCCTTTAGAAACAGTTACTATTAAAGCCTTCGCTAAGAATGTGATTGTTGAGCTGAAACTTGGATGATGAGAAGGAAAATGTGCCCAAGAAGGGAAAGAGCAATTGCAAAAGCCCAGAGACTGGAGGGAACTTGATATGTTTTCTGAACAGGGTAAAAAAGGACTATTTGACAAAGAAGCAGTAAATGAGTGAGAAAGTACAGCCGAGGTCCGATTAGCAGACAGAGGCCAAATCAACTAACGTCTTGTAGATCACAATGAGGATGTGGGTTTTATTATATGTGTACTGGACAGCTAGTGGATGTGGAATATTATTGCAGCTTCTTCCAGACCAGACTCTTGCAGGAGTCAGATCTTGGGAAAGGGGTTGTGTGAGGTTGGAGCTGTAGGAGGATGCAGCTGCAGTCAGAACCATGGCAGGCTGGCAGGGATGATGGGAAGGAGAGAATAAGTATTCCAACTGCTCTAATCTTGCAGTCTCTTGCCAGTCCCTCCCGCTAGCTACAAAACAGAAAGGGAGAGGACAAAGCCACCTTGGTGATGCAGTTATCCAAGTGGTCAGCCTCACAGAAACAGGAGAGAATGTGTTGGAGAGGGCAAAGGAGATCATTACACACAGACTTGCTGTTTTAAGTACCTACAATGTCTTCTCAGCTAGCAGACTACTAGTTTATCTTCATAACTACCTACCAAAACCCACCCGGGCGGAGGGAGATAAGTGGAGTTAATGTATTCTAAGGTTCTTCCATTGTCCAGGAAGTAGTAAAAGTACTAATTAATACTAAACTATTATAAATCAGGAATGCATGGTATAAATTCTAAGGTGATCACTTAAAAAGGAGATAAAAGAATATATACCTAAAAGGCCAATAGAAGGGGGATATGGAATGATAAAAAAAAAACTTGACCAATTCAAAAGAAGACAACAAAGGAGAGGAAAAGGAATATAGAACAAAGAAAAGATAAATCATACAATAGATTTAAACCCAACTAAGTTATTATTTCAGTATTTCCATGAATGTACATTGACTGTGCTACAATTAAAATGTAAAAATTGTCTAATTGGATTTTTAAAAAATCCTCAACTATTTGCTACTTATAAGAAACATATCTTAAATATAAGGGCATAGAAAGCCTGGCTATAAATAATTGGCAAAAATATGCCATATAAGCATTAGGAAAAATAAGGATAATATATAGTCACGTATCAGAAAAAGTAAACTTTTTTTTTTTTTTGAGATGAGGTCTCACTATGTTGCACAGGCTAAAGTGCAGTGGCAAGATTGTGACTTACTACAACCTGGACCTCCTGGGCTCAAGCCATCCCCGCAACCCCAGCCTCCCAAGTAGCTGGGACTACAGATGCATGCCACCATGCCTGGCTAATTTTTATTTTTTGTAGATATGAGATCTCACTATATTGCCTAGGCTGGTTTCAAACTCCTGGCCTCAAGCTATCCTCTTGCCTTGGCCTCCCAAAGTGCTGGGATTACAGATGTGAGCCACCACATCTGTTCAGAAAAAGTAAACTTTAATGTAATAAGCATTACTAAAGATAAAGAAGGACATCTTACAATGAGAAACGGATTAATCCACTAAAAAGGTATAACACATCTAAATTTTTTTCTTTCTTTTTTCTTTTTCTTTTTTTTGTTACTGAAACAAGGTCTTGCTCTGTTGCTGAGGCTGGAATGCAGTGGCATGAACACAGCTCACTGCAGCCTCAGCCTCCTGGGCTCAAGCAATTATCCCACCTCAGTCTCCCAAGAAACTGGGACTACAGGTGCACGCCACCATGCCTGGCTAATTTTAGTAATTTTTGTAGAGATGGGGTTTCACATGTTGCCCAGGCTGGTCTTGAACCTTGGGCTCAAGCAATCTGCCTGCCTCAACTTCCCAAAGTGCTGCGATTACATGCATGAGCCACTGCACCTGGCCTGTATTTTCCAACATGTAATACATAGCCTCAAAATATAAAGCAAAATTAGCATAAGAAAAGGGGAAAATAGATAAATCTATTTCTCAGGAAATAATAGAAGAAGTAGACAAAAATCAGTAAGGATAGAGAATATTTGAACAGCATAATTAACAAACTGCTTATGTAGAACATCGCACCCAACAAATGAGGAATATAAATGTCATTCAAATGAACACAGAACATTTACCAAAACTTGACAATATGAATGGACAAAGCAAATCTCAGAATATTCAGAATAATTGAAAGCATACAGAATATGTTGTTAGACTACAGTGCAGTTAAACTAGAAATCAATAACAAAAAGATAACTAGAAAATATCCACTACTAAGAAAAAAAGTTACAGAAAACCTAAATAAATAGATGGATATACCATCTTCATGGATTGGAAAACACAATATTGTAAAGATGACAATGCCCCCAAAATGACATATGGATTCAATGCAAGCTAAAGTAAAAACCCAGCAGCTTTGTATGAGAATATGCATTTGGCTGGTGTTAACAAGCTGATTCTAAAATGCATATGGAAATGTAAAGGATTAAGCACAGACAAAATAATATTCAAGAACAGAGCTGTAGGACTGACACTATCAGGTACAATGCTTATTACAATGCAAGATTTACAAATGTGGAATTATTACAAGAGTATAAAAATAGACCAGAGACATAGAACTAGAGACCAGAAACTGATACACACATACGTGATCATTTAACTTACGATAAGATGGAAAACAAGTTTTTTTTTTAATAACTTGCTCAGGAGCAATAATAAATCTTAAGGGAAAAAAAATAAAATCTTGATCCCTACCCTTACGTCATACATAAAAAGCAATTCTAATCATGTTGTACACAATACAACAGCTAAAATGTTATCTGTCAATTTAAAAAATTTTAAATTTTGTTGGCCGAGCACGGTGGCTCATGCTTGTAATCCCAGCACTTCAGGAGGCTGAAGCGGGTGGATCACGAGATCAGGAGATTGAGACCATCATGGCTAACACTGTGAAACCCCGTTTCTACTAAAAATACAAAAATAAAGTAGCCGGGAGTGGTAGCGCGCACCTGTAGTCCCAGCTACTCAGGAGGCTGAGGCAGAAGAACGGCGTGAACCTGGGATGCGGAGCTTGCAGTGAGCCGAGATCGTGCCACTGCACTCCAGCCTGGGCGACAGAGCGAGACTCTATCTCAAAAAAAAAAAATTAATTTTGTCATAAAATTGATGATTTTACATGATTTTTCTAAGATATTTTAAATAATAAACTATTTTCTTAAATTAAAAAAAGACAGTTCTAGAGGAATGCAACGTAACTTGAAAGGTAAAACAAAATATGTCTTCTAAAAGTTAAAAACAGGAGAATATCTTTGTGATCTTGAAGTAGTTAATTTTTTTAAAGGAATTAAAATTGATAAACATGATGGAAACCTTTATAAATTGGACTATATTAGAATCAAAAACTTTTTTTCATTTAAAGGCATAATTAAAAGAGTGAAAAGGCAATTCAAAGAGTGGGACAAAATATCTGCAACACATAATTCCAAAAAAGGGACTCATATTCAGCATGCATAAATAACTTCCACCATTCAGTAAGAAAACAAACATACAATCCAGTGACTCAATAGAAAAATAGAAAAATGGAGCTGGGCATGGTGGCTAATGCCTGTAATCCCAGCACGTTGAGAGGCTCAGGTGGGTGCATCACTTGAGGTCAGGAGTTTAAGACCAGCCTGGTCAACATGGTGAAACCCCATCTCTACTAAAAATACAAAAAAATAACCGGGTACGGTGGTGAGTGCCTGTAGTCACAGCTAACTGGGAGGCTGAGGCAGGAGAATCGGTTGAACCCAGGAGGTGGGGGCTGCAGTGAGGTGAGATCGTGCCACTGCACTCCAGCCTGGGTGATAAAGCTCTCAAAAAATAAAAAAAGAAAGAAAAAGAAAAATAGAAAAATGAGCAAAATAATGGGCTTTACAAAGAAGCTAGCCTAATGGCCAATAACTATATGGAAAAAATGATTAGCTTAATTAGACATCAGAGAAATGCTAACTACAATATGATGTCACATCTACAAAAATGGGTAAAATTTAAAAGGTAGACAATACTAAGTGTCGGCTGAGATGTGGGACAACCTGGAACTCCTGTATGTTGCTTATAGCACTGCAAACTATTTGAACGGTCTATGAAAGTTGAACATATGCATACCCTATAATGCAGACAATTTTATTCCCAGGATACCCCCCAAAAATACATACATACATTCCCCAAAAGACATGTTTAAGAATATAGTGTCATACTAGCTTACATGTTCATACTGGAAGCCACTCAAATTCTCATCAATGTTGAAATGATAAGTAAATTTTTGTGTATTGATGCAATGGACTACTAAACAGCAATGACAATAAACTATAATTACATGTAATAACATGAATGTAACAAACATAATATTGATCGAAAGAAGGCAGATACACACACCAAAACATACAATACATTATTCTATTTATATAAAGCATGGAAACATATACTATTGCATTAGAATTTGGATGATAGTTGCCATAAGGAGTGGGTTTGTGGTTGGAAGTAAGTAAGAGGGAGCTTCTGAAGTGCTGGTTACACAAGGATGTTTAATATGTGAAAACGTACCCAGTTGTGTATTTATGGTTTGTAATTTTAAAAAATCAATTCCTGGTGGATGGATAACTATGACTATCAAAACTAAGAACTTCTGGACTAACAGAGCCACATTGAAGGTGGTAGGTAGAAAAAAACTAAGTCACTTTGGAAAATAGAACTCTGGTTATATATTGTAAAGCTAAAGACAAAAAGAACCATATAGAAATATTGTACTATAGTTAAGTACATTTCCTTCTTATAAAGCTATGAGGTTAAAGGTTAAGTACATTTGCTTCTTATAAAGGTTAGCAATTCTGAAAGCATTTGATGTCTATACTAGGTTTGAGCAAATAAATACATTGTAGATAATGACAGGTTGTTCACTATCAGAGAAAGAAGATAAAAATGAGGGAAATGAAGGTCAAAGAAACTCTGTGGTGTTAGATTATAACCTATACCATCGGTATGAATTCATGGCTTTTAATATGCACTCCCACAGAATGCATAGATATAAAAATAAACATAGCTATATGTATGTTTGTGCTGTACATATATGATATACTTCCTAGCTCTTTCTGTTGAGAGGGACTAGAAGCACTGAAACCTCAGTAACAATGTGCAAAGCTAGCACCAAGATCTTGATTTATAAATATCATCTTACAATAAAAGGAACAATAAATCCTTGGAAAAATGGTTGACTCCAGAGCACGGACAGGGAAAACAGAAGATGAGCCTGGAGCATATCGTGGGACCCGAAAGTAAGTTTACAACCAGAAAACGAGGTGATATTGATAGGAATCAACCTGAAAGAGCTCCCAATGGTTAATCCTGGGACCATTTGAAAAACAAAATAAATAAGAAAGAAATGAATTGTAACCCATAAAATAAAATTAATATCCTTGAGTCCATATCGGTATAATTGAATAAATAAATGGGGGCAAAAGGACACTACTTCCTTACGCAGAATTCCAATTAATAAGTGCAAAGGGAATTATAGAAAATCATCATAGGCAACACCAGAGTAATAATTACTGGGAGCACAAATCATTGCAGGATGCCAAAATTAGTAGGTAAAGGTAGAATGAGAAACAGGATAGTTGTATGGTCCTAAAGTATGTCCCTACAGGATACTTATTAGTTATAAAGGAAAAAATAGTAAATTTACTGTGAATTCTGGCACATATCACCTTAATCAAAGTTAACCCGACCAGTAACAATATCAGCATCCTATACTTTCTGATATGATGCACTGAGAAAAGCAAAACATCCATGTTATTCTTGAAAAAAAAAAAAAAAAGCATAACCCCAATCTAATCATGAGAAAAACTGACAATATCAAGTGCTGTCAAGGATATGGAGCAACTAGAACTCCCATATGTTGAGAATGAGAATGCAAAATAGTACAGCCACTTTGAAAAACAGTTTGGCAATTACTTATATATGAACATTTACCATATGATCCAGCAATTCCATCGCCACGTATTTACCCAAGATAAATGAAAGCTTGCATCCACACAAAGACTTCTATACAAATTTTATAATGGCTTTATTTGTATACAAGTCAAAGCTTTACCAAAAACTGGAAACAGCTCAATGTCCACCAACTGGTGAATAGATAAACCAGTTAGTGCCTATATATTCTTTACCCAGCTTTGTCTAATAGTAACATAACCAGAGTAAAATCATTGAAATGAACAAAAAAATAACCAAATTGTGGTACATCCATTCAATGGAATACTACTAAGAAATGAAAAAGAACAGACTACTGATACAACCAAATAAAGTGTCTCAAATGCATTATTCTAAGTGAAATAAGCCAGACTCAAAAGGCTCTATTCTGTATGACTCTATATGTCAATTCTGGAAAAAACAAAACTATAGGGATTAAAAACAGGTCAGCAGTCTTCAACCTTCTTGGCACCCAGAACTGGTTTCATGGGAGACAACTTTTCCACGGGGTGGGGTAAGGGGGATTGTTTCAAGATAAAACTGTTCCACCTCAGGTCATCAGGCATTAGATTCTCATAAGGAGCACACAACCTAGATCCCCTGTATGTGCAGTTCACAATAGGGTTTGTGCTCCTATGAGAATCTAATGCCACTGCTGATCTGACAGGAGGCAGAGCTTAGGTGGTAATGCTCACTCACCTGCCACTCACCTCCTGCTGTGCAGCCAGGTGATAACAGGCCACAAACTGATACCATGACCTGGGGGTTGTAGACCCCTGAGATAGGTGGTTGCCATGGGCTGGAGTAGGGGAAGAGGTTGACTAAAAAGGGGCATGAGGGGGCCGGGCACAGTGGCTCACGCCTGTAATCCCAGCACTTTTGGAGGCCGAGGCGGGTGGATCATGAGGTCAGGAGATTGAGACCATCCTGGCTAAGATGGTGAAACCCCGTCTCTACTAAAAATACAAAAAATTATCTGGGTGTGGTGGGTGGGCGCCTGTAGTCCCAGCTACTGGGGAGGCTGACGCAGGATAACAGCGTGATCCCGGGAGGTGGGGCTTGCAGTGAGCTGAGATCGCACCACTGCACTCCAGCCTGGGCGACAGAGCAAGACTCTGTCTCAAAAAAAAAAAAAAAAAAAAAAAAGAGTAGGGGGCATGAGGGAATTTTAGGGGGTTAATGGGACTGTTCTATTTTTCAATTGTGATAGTTATTACATGACTGGAAATATTTGTCAAAATTCAGAACTATACACTAACAAGGGTGAATTGTACTCTATGTGAATATAAATCATACTCAAAAACCTGACTTAAAAAAAGACAAAGTAAACCAAAATTTCTTAGATACGCCATGTTTATAGTTACTAATTATTGGAATAGTTTTGCTAATTATGAGAAAACATTAGAGAGTCCCAAATTGAGGGATAGTCTACAAAATACCTCTTCAAAAGTGTTGAGCTCAAAAAGACAAAGAAAAACTGAGGAATCACCCCAGATTGCAAGAGACCAAGGATACATGACAATTTTAGTCAATGTAGGAATCTTAGGTTGGATCCTGAACTGTGAAAAGGGCATTAGTGGACAGTTGACAAAATGGGGATTAAGGTCTGTAGATTAGTAATAGTATTGTGGCAGTATTAATTTTTTGTACTCTGGTTAAGTAATATGTTACTATTAGGGAATGCTAGGTAAAAAGTATACAGGAACTCTCTGTATTATTTTTTTAAGTCTAAAATGATTTTATCGTACAAAGTTTTTTAAAAATTAACAACTTCTATTTATTAAAAGATTCTATGAGAATGTAAAAAGGCAATCCACAGAGTGCAAGACAGTATTTGCAATACATATATTCAACAAAGAACTCATTTCCATAATATATAAAGAAGTCTTTAATATTAATAAGAAATATATATAACACTCAACAGAAAAAGGATGAAAACTGTTCTAAGCACTTCACAGAGGAGGATCTCCAAATGCCAATAAACATAAAAGGTATGCAATCTTATTATTCATCAGGAATATGCAAAATAAGACCAACAAGATGCTGCCACCCACTTAACAGAATTGCTATCATTAAAAGACCAATAATACCAAGTGCTGGCAAGTATTTGAACTGATACAGGACTTTCATACCTTCTTGGCAGAAATATAAATTGGGACAACCTACAAACAGTGAATATATACATACCCTCTTCCCCATTAATTCTGCCTCTAGGTACATATAACTAAGAAAAATGTGGACATATATTCACCAAAAGACACATACAAAAATGTGATAGCAGTACTACTTGTAATAGCCCCAAATTTGCAAATCAAATGGCCATCAACATAAATTGTAGTGTAGTCATCCAATGGAATGATATGCAGTAGTAAAAATGAAACTACCATTATCCATCACAACACGATTGAATCATACAACTGTAATGTCGAGCAAAAGAGGAAAAATTTAGCTTGATGATAGAAGTCAGAATAGTGGTTACCTTTGGGAACAGGCAGGCAGCGACAGTGAGGGGACATGAGGGGACAATTGTTACACAGCTGTGCTCACTTTGTGAAAATGCATTGAACTATACACACATCTGCATATGTGATACTTACAAAAAGGTTTAATTTTTAAAATCCTTTGGAAGGCAAAGAATAGGGAGAGAAATAGAAGTGTTTTCATGAAAATATTAAAAATTCCTTTTGTTTTGAAGAAAACTATTGTTCTGTGTAATACACTTCTCCATATGGGCGAAGAAAAGCGTCCGGATAGCCCTCTTCAATGTAGGTATGATGTAAAAGCCAAGACTTCTGTGTGCTAAAACAGTAGCAACAACATAAACAAATATCAAAAGGAAGCAGACAGAAAAATTAGAGAAGAAAGTAACCATACACATCTGGAGAACCAAAAGCAAACAAACAAACAAAAAAATTCCAAGATATCAAATTGGAGAAGTGAAAATACAGTATATGTTTTATAAGACAATCAAACTGCCATGCCCATGGTGATTTCAGGAAGCTGTCTTCTCAGAGTGAAAGCCAGGGGTTACTTTGTGGGGTAAGGATAAAGAACAAAAAGATACACTGCATAATGAAAGGGCATCAGAATGAATAGAAGATAATTCCCTTGGACATGAGATGCAATGAAGTCAAGACCCATATTTTATCTCTGCTGGAGGCAGTCTTATTTGTTAGTAAAGTGCTAGGATAATAAACCATTGTTCTCCTTGCCAAGAACGTCAAAACAAATACAAGCTTCTTTGCTCAGTGCTAAAAATGTCTGAGCCTTTGGAGAACAGCTGGGCAGAAAGCGATCTTGTTCAATTTCAGCACATTTTTTCCCAAGTATTAGGCTGTCCGAACTCAGCCCACATCAAATCATCCCAGGCACCCAGTGCTGGGACAGACCTGTCATGAAAACACAGCCTATCAAACTTGAGCGAGTGGAACGCACAATAAAACCACTTTAAACTTGTCCAACTCTCTGTCTGAAGGAGCAAGGACTTTGAAGCACAAAAAAGCTACTTTAAACAGATAATTCCTTTGAGGTGCTTTTTTCATAAATATAAAAAAAAATGTTGCTGTGCTTGCAAAATTCTGTATATTGATAAGGCTCTGGGAGCATTAGAAATGATTTATGATCTCCTGGCTACCAATATCACTGTTGCCTAAGGGACAGCTTCTCCTAAGAATTTGCAAAATTGTTCTCCATGCTATCAAGTCAGCTCTCATTAAAGTATGTCTCATTTGTGGCTTGTGATTTGTATTAATTTGGAGGTATGTCATTTAGGATGTTTGGGGATTCAAGTAACTAAAAATTAAAAATGAATTCAACTGGCTTAAACAATAAGAACACTTCTTTTATCAAATAACAAGAATCCCAGAAGTAAAGTAGTCCAAGGTGGGTTAACCCAGTGACTCAAATGATGTCATCAAGGACCCAAGTTCTTTCTATCTTTCAGTTCTTCCATTCTCATGCTAAGTCCCCTCATGGGCCTAAGGTGGCTGCCACAGTCCCGCGCATCACAGCCAGATCTAAAAGTATCTAAAAGAAGAAGGAGTGTTCCTATGAGTTTCTTTTCATCACTGAGAATAAAAAAATCTTTGCAAAAGGCCTATCAGCAGACTGTCTATCGAGTTTTAGTGGCTAGAATTGTATCACATGCTTATGTCTAAGCCACTAACTAGACAGCAAATAGGATCACAATGCACCTATTAGACTAATTTACATCTAAACACAGGGATGGGGGTTATCTATGACTGATAAGATGATGGAGCAGACACCCAAGTAAATGTGTGGTACGGTCAACTTAGAAGAAAAGAGAATAGGCTGTTAGGTAGGCAAGCATCTGTGTCTGCTATAATTGACATGAAAGGTAAAATAAGTTTGGTCTAATTGAATTTTTTGGCTTAACTATGGTATGTATATATTTAAAAAAACCTTCTTACTTTCATTTTTTAATAGGCAGAATGTTGTTCTGCTGCCCAGACTGGGGTTCAGTAGTGTGATAATAGCTCACTGCAACCTTGAACTCCTTCAAGAGATCCTCCTGCCTCAGCCTCCTGAGTAGCTGGGACTTCAGGCATGCACCACCATGCCTGGCTAATTTGTTTTTATTTTTATTTTTGTAGAACGGGGTCTCATTATGT
The DNA here is from genome assembly GCF_000001405.40 of Homo sapiens. Lineage (NCBI taxonomy): Eukaryota > Metazoa > Chordata > Mammalia > Primates > Hominidae > Homo > Homo sapiens. Next base: position 35,907,518 of record NC_000011.10, read on the forward strand.
TGCCCAGGCTGGTCTCAAACTCCTGGGCTCAAGTGATCCTCCCACCTCAGCCTCCCAAAGTGTTGCAATTACAAGTGTGAGCCACCATGCTAAGCCAAAACCCTTTTAGATTCTGGCTCTGGCTGTTAAAAATTATTCTATATTAGTTCACTTCCCCCCTACTACTTAAACTGGAATGACACCTTTGGTGTGTCTATACCTAATGACACTCACCTTTCCCCACCCTTTGAAACTCCTCTTTTATTTCCATCCTCAGGATCTTAGGAGTAAGCCTCCTTCACCTGTGTTTGTGCAATGCTGTCTTCCTAGCCACAGATGATTGGAGCTGAGGTGTACAGCGGAACTTAGCTAAACCAATCAGCTTCTTTCTCTGAGAATTTCAAATTGGGGGAAACTCTGGTTGCATCAGTCTCTTCATGCGCTTGGATCTATAACATAACCTCTAGAATTGTGGGGCAGCAATTTTTCTGCCATTTGGGACAAGAAGCAAAAACTAGTGTAAGGGAAAGTAAAAATGAAAAAGATATACAGTGAGTAGTTTCTACAAGTTTTGGCTCCATAAGGCACTTTGAACTACCCCTTCACCACACACAGGCACGTGTACACACACACCTCAAAATGCATATGCAAGCCAGCTTGAGGCAGCTTATGTTACTTGCAACCAAACAGTCCTAACCAAAAAGGAACACAGTGTCCCTTTTCAGAGATGATTGAGGATCTTGCAGAATGCTAGGGTCATCCTGAAGAACTGCCAGTTCTCATTTCCTTTGTGCATAGAAAACTGAAGACAATGAGTCATACCTGTCATAAATTCACCCCAGACCTTGCTACAGACGTTGCCTTTGTTTGATTTAAATCTTCACTATTGGTTTGGTTTCTAATACTTTTTACTCTTTTTTCTAAAAGTATTCAACAAAACACTCAACAGTAACAACAACAAATAACTGTGTATTATGTGAATGGGAGGTGTTATGTTGTGTCTTGGAGAGGCAGGGAATGGGACTAATATCTATTGAGTTCCAACAATTTGCTTTGCATGTATTGTTTACTTTTATCCTTATCACACACTACCTACTAGTAATAACAAAACGAGGCCATGCCTGGTGGCTCATGCCTGTAATCCCAGCGCTTTGGGAGGCCGAGGTGGGTGGATCACTTGAGATCAGGAGTTTGAGACCAGCCTGGCCAACATGGTGAAACCCGGTCTCTACAAAAAATAAAAAATTAGCTGGGCGTGGTGGTGGGAACCTATAATCCTAGCTTCTTGGGAGGCTGTGGCAGGAGAATCACTTGAACCCGGGAGGTGGAGGTTCCAGTAAGCCGAGATCGTGCCACTGCACTCCAGCCTGGGAAACATAGTGTGACTCCATCTCAAAAAAAAATATGTGTGTATATGTGTGTGTGTGTGTGTGTGTGTGTGTGTGTATTTATAACAAAACCATTTTACTAGTGTGGAAGCTGAGTCTCAGAGAAGTACATTGATTTTGTTAAAGTCACACAGCTAGAAAGCCATGGAAGATTTTAAGCCCAGGCTCCAGAGAATCAAAGTTGATGATGTTTTCACTATTCCACGTTGTTAAACAGAAAAAAAAAAAGTGCTTTGATTAACCATCCTGTTAGGTAGACTCTGATTAACTGACATCTGACTCTGGCTATTTTTATTCTCACAATATAGGATATTCTCTACCATCAGGGAGAGAAACAGAGACAGGGAGAATGACCTTGTAGCACCAGATCTATTACGGATATTTCTGCATTTTTAAAATTTCTAAATTAAGCACTGCTACCTCTGGTAAAAACAGAGGATAACATTTTTTAACATGTGGAACAAACAAACGCCAGGGAAGATTAAATGAGGGGCACAAGATCCTTAGAGACAGAAGCACTTTGTAGCCATCCCTTCTCGCTGTCTTAGTAGGTGTACATTCTCAAGCTGTTGATTTTTCTTGACTAATTAAAGATGATTGGAGTTTTAGAGTTTGGCTTTATTTTTGTTTTTCTCCATCTTTCACATATCCCAACTCACACACTGTCTGCTGCTGCCAATTAGCAAGAACGTGGGAGAAGAGTTAGTCCTGGCTATAACCAGGCTGGATACAAACCTGTCACAATGAGATTAGGGATATTCAGGCAAAAGCATTTACCTTAATGTGTTTCGTTCCTAGCAAAACAATCATGCAAATGTTTTAAGTCAAACTTTCCAAAACAGACACAGTCATGCAAAGCTGTCCATGTGAAACAGGTTGCCAGTCAGAACCACCATTTTTATCTTCCACTGCTGTTCTGTAGGCCAGTTAACTCTTCTCTACCCATAGAATGTCTTCTTTGTTTTTAGATGTTTAAAAAAACCACCCAGTTGAATTGTTACATTACAAAAAAAGGTTACACTTTTGTTTTTAATACATTCCAACATTACAGGAATGAAATGCAGAAATGGAAATTTGGATTTGAGTTTTTCATACTGTCAGTAGCCCTTCCTGTAAACCTTGCCAATATCAAGAAGGTCTTAAAAAGTGTAAACTACAGGAAAACTGCAATTAGTCAAAATGCCCTGGGTATGGGAGATTCCAGGTTATCTCAGAGTTAACCAGAAAATCCTTTTCACTTCAACCCTTGCCATTGAAAGTCTCTGAAAAGCGTGAGTTGAGTTTCCTGCCTTAAAAAGCACAGTTTACTCTAAATGCAATTTAATGTTTGCCTGATAGTTGAGGGTCAGGGTGGACCTCAGGCTAAATATTCTGGACCCCAATTCCCATTGTCCAGAAAAAGCAAAACAAAAGGAAATGGGAGATTGGGTAGAATTTCTACTCAACCCTAGGACATGTTTTTGAAGTTCTTGAAATGAGCCTTTTCCTTCTGGTATTTTGCTCCTTTCTACTTCTATAAAGAGAGAAAAAAAAAGTCTGCTAAACTAGGAGTTTTGCCTATATAAGTTCCAGTGAAATCAAGATGCTATGATATTTGAATTTTTCCTTTAATCTTTATGAAAGAGATGACTGAGGTGTCGGCCATCAGGAGTTGGGAGCCATCCTCTTCCACCTGGTCTTGGATCTAGTACAGGGAGGCTTGGAAAAGTGAGTTCCCCTAGCCACCCCCCACCTTTCACTACCCCTCCAATGAGAGAGCAGAATGGCATGGGTCATGCATTTGGTTATTTCTTCTCATCATTTGTCACTCTCTAGACCAAGGTTCCTCATCCTTGGCATTACTGACATTTTGGGTTGGATAATTATTGTTGTAGGAGGCTGTATTAGGGTTCTCTAGTGGGACAGAACTAATAAGATAGACGTATATATAAAGGGGAGTTTTTTTATTTTTTATTTTTTTTTATTTTTGAGACAGAGTCTTGCTCTGTTGCCCAGGCTGAAGTGCAGTGGCACAATCTCAGTTCACTGCAAGGTCTGCTTCCTGGGTTCACGCCATTCTCCTACCTCAGCCTTCCGAGTAGCTGGGACTACAGGCACCCACCACCATGCCTGGCTAATTTTTTTGTATTTTTAGAAAAGACGGCATTTCACTGTGTTAGCCAGGATGGTCTCGATCTCCTGACCTCATGGTCCACGCACCTTGACCTCCCAAAGTGCTGGGATTACAGGCGTGAGCCATCACGCCTGTTTATTAAGAGTATTGACTCATACCATCACAAGGGGAGGTCCCACAATAGGTTGTCTGCAAGCTGAGCAACAAGGAAGCCAGTCTGAGTCTCAAAACCTCAAAACTAGGGAAGCAAACAGTGCAGCCCTCTGTTGGTGGTCAAAGGTCCAAGGGTCCCAAAGCTTGGAGTCTGATGTTCAAGGGAGGCAGCGTCCAGCACAGGAGAAAGGTGTAGGCTGGGAGACTCAGCCAGTCTAGTCTTTTCCCATTCTTCTGCCTGCTTTTATTCTGGCCATGCTGGCAGCTGATTAGATTGTGCCCACCCACATTGAGGGTGAGTCTGACTTTCCCTATCCACCGACTCAAATGTTTATCTCCTTTGACAACACCCTCACAGACACACCCAGGAACAATACTTTGCATCCTTCAATCCAATCAAGGTGACAGTTGATATTAACCATCACATAGGCTGTTCTGCACACAGTAGGATGTTCCTGCTAGATGCCAGCAGCACTCCCCTCACCTCCTCAGTTGTGACAACCAAAAATGACTCCAGACATTGCCAAATATTCCCTGAGAGGCAAAACTGCCCCTAGTTGAGAATTACTGGTCTAGATGGAAGCACAATTATTCTTTTTCTCCCCCACTTGTCAAGATTATGAGTTTTCTTGACCTTGGCAAGTAATTTCATAACATATTTCCTGTGCTACTTCATGGAAAAACAGAAATAATTATCTGATGAAAGTGGTATTTTGACTTGAATTGTATGAGGCAGGCCTTGTTAAAATACAACTGCAGGTTCTGCATTGTTTACTCTTCTAAATTTCCCTTGAGGTCATTGTCATTATGGACACGGAGTCAAGCCTTAGCCACAGCCTCTTATGTTGTATGGTCATCTTCAATTTCATTTTTGCATCTATCTCAGAAATACTTTCACTACTGTTGCTGCTTCCTAAAGGCTTAACAGATTTTTCACCCACTGGGTTCTTTTAAACCTGTTATTCTTTCTCTCCAGTGGATTGGGTTAAATTTAAATTCCACATTCTTAAAGAATATTTTGTATATTTTAAAAATTTGATAAATTAGTTGAATTCAGGCAGTTAGTTCTAGATGCCTGATTTTAAGGGTGTAGTAGTATTTCTGCTATAGAAAGAGCAGAAGTTAAATTGTTGTGGAGAGCAGATCAGGAGAGTTACTTACATATGTTGATTTTCAAATTTCAAACAATTAAATATTTCATATATTTATATTATAATATAATGTATGTACAATTTTCCAAGTTCATCGGATTTTTTGTGTATGTTATTTTTACTTAGATGGTAAAGAATAGAACACAAAACAATAGGTGCTGACTATATAAAAAATGTTCATTTACCTAGGTAAAGCCTAAAATATAACAATTAAGGCCGGGTGTGCTGGCTCACGCCTGTAATCCCAGCACTTTTGGAGGCCAAGGCAGTGGGTCACCTGAGGTCAGGCGTTTGAGACCAGTCTGACCAACATGGAGAAACCCCGTCTCTACTAAAAATACAAAATTAGTCAGGTGTGGTGGCACATGCCTGTAATTCCAGCTACTTAAGAAGGCTGAGGCAGGAGAATCGCTTGAACCCACGAGGTGGAGGTTGTGGTGAACTGAGATCGCACCATTGCACTCCAGCCTGGGCAACAAGAGCAAAACTCCATCAAAAAAAAAATCTTGTTTACATAAATTTAAAATGGCATGTATTTTTCTGACATGAAAGTAACACCCTCACATGACGTTCACTGGAAATACAAAAAGTGAAATGATGAAAAAGTACTTGTGATATTATCACCCAGAGATTGTCACTATTAACATTTAGAAAATGTTTCCTTTCAGTCTTTCTTTCCTTCTACAAAACTGAGACCACCCTAAATAGAGTTATTCTGATTTTTAAAATCATAGTAAGCACAGATATAAATATAACTAGTGTATTTAAACTGCCCCCCCTGTAGGACTTTAGGTGATTTCCAGTTCTTCACCATGATATGTTTAGTGCTGCAGTGAAAGTCTCTATACATAAATCTTTGCACACATGCCTGAGCAGCACTTTCAGCTGAAACTTGAAAAGACAAATACAGGGTCAAAAGGTATGAATTTCTAAGACTCAATCCATATTGCTGAATTACCTCAGGAAAGCTATGCCCATTTTCAGTCTTTCTTTATTGACAATTTTCTTGAAGGGCTTCCATCTTGTTCTGTCAACCTCCAGGCCTGTGAAGACATTTCCCACAGGACATTCTTCAGATATGTCAATGTCAATGTAATAAGATCCATCTTAAGATATCTGTCAACAGCCTCCTTGGACCCATCTCAAACCATCTGTCAATGGCAACTCTAATATATTTTAGGAAGATGCTGATGCAGTTACCAAAAAAAAGTTTGCAATGGAATCAGATTGTCCAATCACTCAAGTTGCAGAATTGAACTGTGTTAATGACATGTGACAATTTTATCACAATATCCAGAGACTCCATGCTAGGAACATGTCCTTGTAATTTTTTTTTTTTTTTGAGACAGATTCTCACTCTGTCACCCAGGCTGGAATGCAGTGGTGCAGTGGCGTGATCTTGTCTCACTGCAATCTCTGCCTCCTGGGTTCAAGTGATTCTCCTGCCTCAGCCTCCTAAGTAGCTGGGATTATAGGTGCGCGCCACCACTCCCGGCTGATTTTTGTATTTTTAGTAGAGATGGGGTTTCACCATGTTGGTCAGGCTGGTCTCGAACTCCTGACCTCGTGATCCACCCACCTCAGCCTCCCAAAGTCATGTCCTTGTAAATTTAAGGGCAGGCTGCAGGAGGAGGAACGGGAATTATCTTTCATGTGGCTTCTGTAGAACTCACACAATCCCAGCCATGTCGCAAACTTGGCAGCAAGAATTGACTGCCAACCCTTAGCTCCAGTCAAGACTATGGAGAAAAACACTGCTTAGATACAGGACTATATGACTTAGAAAGCTAGATTAGTATAATCTGACTATAACACATACAACTGTTACTTTGCTGTAGGTTTGAATTTCGTGCCTCCAAATGATCTCTAACCAAGACAAGTATGGTGTTCCCAGGAAATGGAAAGGACCAGCCTTCTTACACTATAGAAAGCACTTTCATAGGTGTATAAAAGTACTTTTCTTTCTTCCTTTTTCTTTTCTTCAAATGGAGTCTTCCTCTGTCCACAGGCTGGAGTGCAGTGGCACCATCTTGGGTCACTGAAGCCTCCACCTCCTGGATTCAAGCGATTTTCATGTCTCAGCCTCTCAAGTAGCCTAGACTACAGGCACGCGCCACCACGCCTAGCTAATTTTTGTATTTTTACTAGACATGGGGTTTCACCATGTTGGCCAGGCTGGTCTCAAACTCCTGACCTCAAGTGATACACCAGTCTCAGCCTCCCAGAACGCTGGGATTACAGGCGTGAGCCACCATACCCAGCCCATAAGTGCTTTTCATTACTGTTTATTACTGTTATCATACTTTTATTATTGTTCTGAGGTGACTCTGAAACCCAGAATCTAAAATTATCTGGAGAACGAATTCATTTTATTTTGAGGCACAAAATTGGTATCAGTAATCGCCTGGTCTCATCCTCTTACCAGATCCTCACTGGCAACTTGACCCTCATCAAGAATCATAAAGTTGGAATTAGCCTTTAACTTTCAAGGGGCTGGTGTATAGTCTAGTCTAAGCTTTCAAGTGGCCAGAGTGGTCTCTACCCTCAAATGGACGAAGTGTTCATGGGTTCTCATTGCTCTGAACCACTGGCTAATTGAGTCACTTTCTGAAGTGTCACAGACAGTACAAAGTCCCCAGGCATTCAGGCTGTTCCTTAGCTCTCTGGACGATATTATCTCCTTGGCATCTCATCTAAATGCAACACACAACCAAAGTCAGAGCAGACAGAAACCACAAGGAACACGTAAGAGACAGAAGTCAGGGGCCTACCACTTTGCCAATGAGGCAGACTGGAAAGGCAGGCCTGACCCAAATTGCTTCTCACTATAAATAGCTTTATTAAGAATGGGTTGTACTTAGCCACCCCTCAGATGAGATCAAAGCATCTTGAATACATTTCCTGGATGTGGTCTGTTGGGTATAAGAATGACCCAAATTCTTTATGTCCGTACACTGTAGCCAAAATTCAACCAAATGGCATTCTCCTGGAATGGAGACCAGAACCTGGCTTATCCATCTGCATGTGTTCTATGGATATATTCCTACCCTGAGTGTAGGAAAAGAAAGGGGGAATTAGAAACATAGACATTTTTTAAGCATTTCACCCATTTTATTGCATGTAGTTGTCCCAATAATTCTACAAGCCAGGACTTTTATCTCTTTCAGAGAAGAGCAAAATGAGGCTCAGAGAGGGTAAGTATCTCACCCTAAGTCATACAGGACAGGAAAGAAATGGCAAAGCCAGGACATGAATGTGAATCAAACTGCCCAATTTTTTTTTCTTTTTCTTTTTGAGATGGAGTCTTGCTCTGTCACCAGGCTAGAGTGCGGTGGCACAAGCTCGGCTCACTGCAACCTCCGCCTCCTAGGTTCAAGAAATTCTCCTGCCTCAGCCTCCTGAGTAGCTGAGACTACAGGCACACACCACCACACCCAGCTTATTTTTATATTTTCAGTAGAGACGGGGTTTCACTATGTTGGCCAGGATGGTCTTGATCTCTTGACCTCGTGATCTGCCCGCCTCAGCCTCCCAAAGTGCTGGGATTACAGGCATAAGCCACCTCACCCGGCCTCAAACTGCTCAATTTTAAGGTCTCTGTACCCTCTATCATCACACAGCAGGGGGTCTCAAGTAGGCAAATTTCTTATGGACTGACTTCTGAGATGGCCATGTCCCTACAGATGTACAATCTTCTATCTTTGCCTTAGAGTTGCTGTTGAGCTATTGCAGGGAAGGAAGTGGGGAGGTGGTGAATCTAGGAGAGTTAGAATGAGGACTCCAGGGGTTATATCACTTTGATGAAAAAATAACATTATAAGGCATGGCATATTGGTTATAAATTTGTGCAATTTTTATGTGTCAGTTTCTCTGTCTGAATGAACCTCATCTATCCTGTATCAACACAAGTAATTTGTATGTCTTTTTATAGGTTTTTGTTTCATCTTGAACTCCTAGGGCCTGAGAGCCCTGACCATCTATGTTATACCTAGAATTTAGAATTGTTTTTCCTTTTCTTTCAATCCTGATTTAGTGTGGAATTCAGAGTCAGTGCAGGCAACTCAAGAGTGTATGATTATTGCAGAAACAGGCTGCCCAGCCAGGGTCACATTTCATAGTCCTCTGAATGTAGCTGGCCCCATGTGGTCATTTCTAGTCCAAGGTATTTAAGAAAGAGATATGCTCCTTCACGCTTCCTCTTTTCTCTTCCACCTGGTTGCAGAGAACTTTGCAACTAGATGTGGTAGCTCACACCTGTAATCTCAGCACTCTGGGAGGCCAGGAATTTAAGACTAGCCTGGGCAACATAGTGAGACCCTCATGTCTACCAAAAAAAAAAAAAGAAAGAAAGAAAGAAAGAAAGAAAAATTAGCCAGGCATGGTGATGTGCACCTGTGGTCCCAGCTACTCAGGAGGCTGAGGCAAGAGGATCACTTGAGTCTGGGAGGTTGAGGTTGGGGCTGCAGTGAGCCATGATTGCACCACTGCGCTCCAGCCTGGGTGACAGAGCAAGATCCTATCTCGAAAACAAAACAAAACTTGAGTATGCCTCAGAATCAACTAGAAGGCTGTTAAAACACAGATTGCTGGGGGCTCTATCCCCAGAGTTTTTCTTCAGTAGATCAGGGACTTGATAATTTGCAAGTCTTACAAGTTCCCAGATGTTGTGGATATACCAATCTGGGCACCACACGTTGGGAACCACTGCCCTAGGGCAACACCCTTGTGTAACACTGGCTATACTTTAGACACCCCTGGAGGTGTTTTAAACTTGTTGATGCCCAAGCTGCAACTAAAACCAATAAAATCAGAATATCTTGGGGATGGGGCTCATGTATTAGCATAAAGCTCCTCAGGTAATTACAATATTGAGTTAAAATTGAAAATCACCAGTGTAAGGTGGAGCCTTAAGATTGAAGAAACATTGGTTCTTAAATCATTGAGTGGAGGAAAGCAGCCCTACTCGAAGAAATACCCACTTTGGATTGTCATACAAACAGGAAATAAACTTTTATTGGGATAGGCTGCTGAAATTTTGGAGATGATTTGCTGTTGCAGCTGGCATTATCCTTATTAATACTACAATGTTGACTATTAAGAACCAGCTTTCAAACATTCTGTTGCTTATCCTTTTAATTCCTGCCTTGTTCTGCTCTGAGAGTATTGATATGATTGGTTAGATTCTGCGATAATTAGTGGCCCGTATTTTCTAGAGGTGGAACTTACAACAGAAATAAGGTTATATACAGCACACGTAACATAGGCATAGCCTCTCTTTTTCTCTCTATCCTCGTGGCCAGAATAGCAGGGTAGCTCTAGTTCATTCTCTTCCCTTCTCCCCACTCCTTCACTTTTTCTCTCCTTGGAAACACAGTCCTCCTCCCACCTGGAAGCAGGCTCAGATTTCTTCACTCAATTTGAAAGGACTTGGGCAGCCACCATTCGGCAAATATTCTAGGCAAAGGTGACAAAATACTTTCGCTTTTTTCTCTGATATAGTTGAAAACCAAGAATCAAAACCAAACCACAAAAAACCTGAGCCAATACACATCAGCCAGAGGCAGAGAACATGAAACTAGAAAGTCGAACAGGTAATACCTGAGAATTGGGCTTGAACCATGACAGGCAAGAAGCATGAGGTCCACTCTTGCTCAAGTTTGCATTATGGTTTTTCACCAAAGCTCTCTCTAAAAATAAAGTGCTACTTACCGCTCCTGTGAAGGCACTGCTGAGAAATGGGGCTAGCCAGCCAAAGGTGGGATTCAGGTGTTTCAGGGTCCTCTGGCCAAATGTCTTCATCGACCCTCCATTAGCTAAAAAGATGGTGTAATTGTGCAAACATAAGCATTTAAAAGGCATGGTGACCAAAAGCAGATATGGATGACTTTTATTGAGGAATCAACCCATGTCTGTGTTCACTCTAAGGGAGACTAACATGTGAATAAACAACTGGACAGATTCCCCCCACCACCCATAAAACTGTCAGGTTTTTGATGGACAGAAATGGAAAAGCTAATGGCTCTAAAAGCATATGTTGCAAGTTCTGCCTTTTCATGATAAACGTAAAGGGACAATAGCCTCAGTTGAGAATCAGTTTCCTGGCTGACGGCAGTGAACTGCCCCTCTCCTGGCTGCTCTTGTTCTTGGAGCTTCCCCTCAACTTTCCCTAGTGGGAAAAGGACAACTTTTTTGGTTGTGAGAAAGAGAAAATCCAACCTAAGATAGTGCTCAAAGAAATTTTATTGAATCATGTACTGAATGTCTGAAATCAGGACTTACTTTAGACATTGATTGATTCGAGGGCTCAAGCACTGTCCTCAAGATCCAGCGTCTCTTGTTCTCGTCCTGACTTGACTGTGTTCTCAAACCCGTGTTCCCTCAATAGATGGAGATGGCTACAGCCGTTCCAACCTCATACCTCTCAAGTCAAGCAAGGATCTAGTGAGAGTCTCCTTCCCAGAATTCCCTGCAAAAGTCTCATTGTGTCTCTAATTGGCTCTAATTAAGTCACATAATTATCAATGAGCCAGTCATTGGAGTCCAAGGAAATGCAATACCTCAATGGGCTTAAACCTAAATCACATGCCCTAGTCCTGAGCCAGGGTGAGTCATCCTGGCAGAAAGAAGAAGGGATGGCGGAATTGTCAAAAGAAGGGGGATTAGATTCTGGACAGCCAAAAAGGAACAGGTGTCTGGCATAGTATCCCTGACTTCCAGGGCCAATCAAAGAAAATTCTTCCTTAACTGTTTTCTCCTGTGGGGCAGCTTAGCGGGCACATATGATTCCCTACATTATGTTTCCAACTAGTCACAATAAAAGGGGAAGGATGGAAACAGGAATAAGCCTGAAAAGGGAACAGAATTGAGGGGAGAGCTCTCCTGAGGAGGGAAGAATGAGACTGCAGAGTGGGGACTGTGTTATCCACTCTACCCATCATCTTTCCCCTGGCAGAGCAGCCTGCCCACACAGGAACCGGATCGCAAGAGCTGGTGGTGTTCTCTTTCCAATGGAGACTCACCAGGCTGATGCTTCCTTGTTTGCCCTGGGCTGCTTCTCTCCTGCCACTCTATTGACACACACATAGATCCTCTTACGATGATGCTCCATGGAAACCAGGGATGGAATGAATCAAAAGTGGTCAGAAGAACCATTGTTCTCCTTTGCAAAATAACTGAACCCTTGTTAATCTGTTGCCAGCCTTACATTTCTCCCAGAGAGATCTCCATTGGGTGGAGGCTGTAAACAGGAAACTTGAAACCCTCAGTCATCCTTTGTATTACTTATTGTTTGCAGGCAGCTGCAGGGTATTCACCACCACAGAGCTTATGCTTGGGGTTGAATCCTAGTAGGGAGATGAGCAGTAGAGTTTCTAAGACACAACCCGCAGAGGAGAAAATATACTTCTTCAAAAGGAAAGCAGAAATAAGGCTCAGAATTGAGCAAAGACACATTTTTAAATGGGTGACAGATTTGCAAGGATAGTAAAATAACTCTTAGTTTTACTTTGTGTACAATCAGCATGCCCACACACTGTGGCTATAGGAAAATGTAAAAAATTTTTAATTTCCTGTAGTCTGGCTGAAGATGGACTATTACTATGGACAATACTGAAGCTTTGGGGCAACAGAAGTAAATTGCAAAGTAAGGCATACTTTAGAAATACCAGCAGATGCAGCTGGTGTCTAGGCTCAAGAGATCCTAGCTATAAAGATGGTACCATGTGGGGGATGAGAGCTAGGACCCAGACTATATGAGTGTGAATCCCAACTCTCACACTCACCAGCTGTGGGACTTTGGGAAAGTCACTTAACCTTTTTCTGCTTGTTTCATCATCTATAACACGGGGATAATAATAGTACATACCTCATTGGGTTATTGTGAACATTATATAGGTTACTATGAATAAAGTGCTTAGGAAAATGACTAATGCATGGTAAGAGCTTGTATGTGTTAGCTATCATTATTTTTACTAAATAATTCTTCCCCATGTAGGTACTGGATTTGTTTGTTGAGTGAATAAATAGATGAATGGATAAAATCAGCCTTAGCATTCACTGCACATAAAACACAAACCTCTCAGTCCCATTTTGCCCAGGTCCATTTTCTCAGCCATGACTGGTGTGCGGTGAGGCTCAGACCTCCTGGTTGTTTCTAAAGCCTTCTTGGGTCTCCACTCTGCAACTTCTGGAAGCTAACCAACCCCCACCAACCCCTCACATATTTAAAAAACAAAGTGTAGTCTAAAATCCATTCAGGGAAAAAAGTTTATTTAAATAAAAATAAAGCAATATTGTCTGTGAAACAAGCACTTAAATAAATGAAACATTTTTCACTGTATGGAAGGACTTTGAAATGGACCAAATGCATTACTGAGTACCTTCAGTGAAAATCTATGTGCTGTCTTGGGCAACCTTCCAGGGTGTTTGATTCTGTGGGATTGCTGCACCTTTCACTGCCTTGAACAATTTTACAACTTTGTAAGTTGCAGCTAACTGATTGCAATACAAGTGATTATTTTCCATGGACATGTGTATGAGTTTTCTGTTGCTGTTTTTAAAAAACTACCATAAACTAAGCAACTTGATATAACATACATGTATTATCTTGTATTTTCTGTGGGTTAGGAGTTCAGGCACAGGTTAACTGGGTCTTCTGCCCAGGATATCAGCAGGTTGAAATCATGATGTGGTCCTGGGCTTGGGTTTCTCTCCTAAGTGCATTTCATTGACAGAATTCATCTTGTGGTTTAAGACTGAGGTCCCTGATTTTTTTTGTTGTTGTTGTTGTTTTTGTTTTTTTTGAGACGGAGTCTCGCTCTGTCGCTCAGGCTGGAGTACAGTGGCACAATCTCGGCACACTGCAATCTCTGCCTCCTGGGTTCAAGCAATTTTCCTGCCTCAGCCTCCCGTGTAGTTGGGACCACAGGCACGTGCTACAATGCCCGGCCAATTTTTTGTATTTTTAGTACTGACGGGTTTTCACCGTGTTAGCCAGGATGGTCTTGATCTCCTGACTTCGTGATCTACCCACCTTGGCCTCCCAAAGTGCTGCGATTACAGGCATGAGCCACCGAGCCCGGCCCCCTGATTTTTTACTGGCTGTCAGCATGGGCTATTCTCAGTTTCTAGAGGCCACCTGCTGTTCCCTACCACGTGGCCTTCACAACTTGGCAATTTGCCTCTCAAAGGTCAGCAGAATCTTTCCTACTTTAAATCTCTTTATTTAAGGGTTTGCTTGATTTAGATCATACCTACTCAGGATAATCTCCCTTTTGATTAATTTGTCTCAAACATTTAATTACACCTGCAAATTCCTTTCACCTTTGTTGACCAATGTAACCTAATCATGAGAATGAAATCCATCATACTCACAGTCCTGCCCATACTCAAGAAGAAGAAATTCTGCAGGGGGTCAGCCATGGTGGCTCACGCCTGTAATCCCAGCACTTTGGGAGGCCGAGGCGAGTGGATCACTTGAGGTCAGGAGTTCAAGACCAGCCTGGCCAACATGGTGAAACCCCTTCTCTATTAAAAATACAAAAATTAGCTGGGCATGGTGGTGCACACCTGTAGTCCCAGCTACTCGTGAGGCTGAGACAGGATGATTGCTTGAACCCGGGAGGCGGTGGTTGCAGTGATACAAGATCACACCAGTGTACTCCAACCTAGGCAACAGGGCGAGACTCCGTCTCAAAAAAAAAAAAGAAAAGAAAAGATAAAAAAAAAAGAAATTCTACAGTCTCAAAAAAAAAAAAAAGTTATGCAAGGCATGTACACTAAGAGGTAGGACTCTTAGAATTCTGGCTACCACAACATGCAATTAATTTTGAAAATTGTCCCTACTATTTCCCCTCAAGCCAGTTTTTGCATCTCTTCAACAAATTTGTCAGCTTTCTTGTTTTTGTTTGTTTGTTTGTTTGTTTTGGTGGTTTTTTTGGTTTTGTTTGAAACAAGGTTTCACTCTGTTGCCCAGGCCAGAGTGCAGTGGTGTGATCATAGTTGCAGTTGCTCACTGCAACTTTGAACTCCTGGGCTCAAGAGATCCTCCCCCTTCAGCCTCATCTAGGCATTACGGCCACCAACCACCAAGCCCAACTAATTTTTAAATTTTTGGTAGAGATGGGATCTAACTATGTTGCCCAGGCTGTTCTCACACTCTTGGGCTCAAGCAGTCCTCCTCCCTGGGCCTCCTGAAGTGTTGGGATGACAGGTGTGAGCCACCACACTCAGCTGTCGGCACTCTTGATTGCCCATATGTGTATCCACTCTTTGATTTCCTTTGAACCTGTTATAACGTCTTACTGTTTTCCTCATTAATTAATGAGTGAAATAAAATATTTGACATGTGTTCACTTTCTGTTTGTATGAGTCATGGTTTTACTTTTTAAAGTATTCTATTTTACATCAACTTTTATATTAATATTTATTGCATAATTTTTCTTAAAAATGATGGATATGTTACTTACTTTTACATGTGCAACCAAAGGGCTGTTTCCCTTTTCTAGAACTTCTAGCTCTTGAAACCTAATATTATTTGCTTCTGTGAAAATATAATGTTTCTGGCTTTTACTAGCCTCATTTTAAGCGGCCTAATCCTGGGACATAGCAGTAGAACTACCATTACCTTAGCGTTAGAGAGGAGCAAACAACAACCCACCTCACCACCCCTAGATTAATTTCCTTCCTTATGAACAAAAAATATCAAAGGGCCCTGCTGACATTTTCTTCTAGAATCTTGGGATTCCAGGATTTTGCTACTGGAAAGGGCAGAGGATTTTTCTCCTCTCTATGCTCAAAATAACGCACTTTTCTGATCACTAACAATGCCTTTGTGGAAACAAATATCAATGAAAATTAGATGTTATCTTCCTGTGCCTAGCGTGGTGCCTGGTACATAGTAGGTCTTCAGGAGATGTTAGGTCTCTGCTTCCTTTCCAGCCATACTGTGAAGGGTGAAAATAGAAGAGGCATAAAGAGGCTTCTGGGTTCCTGCCTCTATCCTGGCATCAAGCTCATTGGCGGCAGGGCCAGTCTTTCACAAGTGAGTATAGCACCTATGTAGCACACTCCTGATCACTTCCACGAGCAAAGAAAAATCTTGGTCTTGCCAGAGAGGCAAATGAAAGATTAATGCCAGTTAAATAATATATAATAGTAAGATCATTATCCTGTCCTCTCCCAGTCAACTAACTTTGTAATGTGTTAACACTTATGGGGTATACAAAATCAAACTCCATAAACTGTTGTAAAGTGGAAGGAACGATGCTGATTAGTCTGGCGGCACACAAGGACACAAGAATTGTTCTTTGTTTCCCTTTTTCGAGTGAGGAGCCAAGCTGACATTCTGGACAATCATGACAAAACAAATTTCCTGTCCAAGTTTAACAGGAAGCATCCAATCTTTACAACTCGTGCTTCCCATTACACACCCCCATGCTAACTTTCTCACAAGTTTCCTCTACCTTTAAAAGCAAAGGCTGTAATGTCATAGTTTTGTCTTCAAAGCCATCAGCAAATATTGGTCATGTTTCATCAAATTGTGTCCTGGAGAGACAGAAAACCCACATGACTCCCTTTTTCCATTTCTTCTTACTGCGTGGTAAGAATGAAACAACAAACTATTATAGAAAAAGCCTTAAAGAAGGGACTTAAGATGGAGATAGGGAAAGGTATGGTTTGCAGCGTAAAAGTAGAAAAGACAATCAAGTGTGAGCAGTGCACGTTTTTGAAATTGCTTCTGAAACCACTATTATAGGTTACATTGTCAGCAGGCTGTATTGATTATTTTTAGGTAATATATTTGTAGAATCTCTGCTAATGGACACTTCAGGATCATCTTTTGCATTTAATGTATCTAATACCCATTGATCAGGTCATTGGCTTATTGGTTATCTACTTTGCTGCCCAATGATTCTCTATAATTGTTTTCTTCACTACCCATTTCTATTCCAGGAGCAGCTTCTATTGTGTCCCATTACACTAATGGAAATTATTGACATGGAAATTAGTAGGTGCTGAGCTTAAGAATTCTATGATACACACATTGCATTTCTTTAAGTTGTCGATGTTCTTGTATAATTAGCAGTAAATATTGACATGGTGAAATTAGTGAATTTAATTCAAAGCAAAAGAACAAGAAACATCTTTAAAAAGGAAACACCAAATATTTTGCATAGCTATGTATACTTTAGTAAAAATAAATATAGCAAGTTTGGCATTTATGTTTAACATTGTTTAGCATCCTGAGTTAAAAGACAAGAGTGTTTTTGATTCTTGTTGCTATAAGCATGCTCATGTTATAGATGGAAAAGTTAGCCTCAGGGTGGCTAACATCTGTGTTATATTGTCCAATATGTTAGCCACTAGCTACATGTGGCTGTTGAGCACTTGAAATACAGCCAGTCTAAAGGGAGATGTGTTATAATTATAAAAGGCACACCAAATGCTGAAGACTTAGCATGAAAAAAGGATTGTAAAATAGCTCATTAATTTTTTAATTGATTATAGGTTGGAATAATATTTTGAATAGTCAGTCATAAAATATATTATTGAAATTAATTTCACCCTCTTTCTTTTTCCTTATTTTAATGTGACTACTAGAAAAAACTAAATTATATATGTTGTTCACATTATATTTCCATTGGACAGCACTGGTCTAGCACAAGTCCTAAGTGGGTAGTGTCTAGCGCTTCACTGTGCCATATGGTAGCAACTAGTCTCATGTGATAATTATATTTAAATGCAAATTATTTAAAGATGATACTTCTAAAATTCAGTTCCTCAGTTGTGCTAGTCACATTTCAAGTGCTATTGCTGTATGGCTGGGAGCTACCAGACTGGACAACACAGATAGAGAAGCCTCATAGCATCCCAGAAAGTTGCATTGAAATGTGCTGATCAAGGGCAGGAGTTCAAGACCAGCCTGGTCAACATGGTGAAAACCTGTCTCTACTAAAAATACAAACATGAGCTGGGTGTGGTGGTGTGCACCTGTAATCATAGCTACTTGGGAGGCTGAGGCAGGAGAATCGCTTGAACCCAGGAGGTGGAGATTGCAGTGAGCCGAGATTGCGCCACTGCTCTCCAGCCTGGAGACAGAGTGAGACTCCATCTCAACAAATAAAAACAAAAAAGGAAAAGTGCTGGTCCAGCACATCACTAAGCAAGCATTAAAATTGAGAATGCCTAGTCTGGGCGCAGTGGCTCATGCCTTTAATCCCAGCACTTTGGGATGCCGAGGCGGGTGGATCACGAGGTCAGGAGTTCGAGACCAGCCTGGCCAATATGGTGAAACTCCGTCTCTACTAAAAATACAAACAATTAGCCGCGCGTGGTGGTAGGTGCCTGTAATCCCAGGTATTCAGGAGGCTGAGGCAGGGGAATCGCTTGAACCCGGGAAGTGGAGGTTGCAGTGAGCCAAGATCTTGCCATTGTACTCCAGCCAGGGTGACAGTGTGAGACTACATCTCAAAAAAAAAAAAAAAAAAAAATCCCTGAGAATTCCTCAATTCCTCTCTGCTAAGCCATTGTCCATGGAGACTGTAATGAAATGCCATGAAAATAAAAGTGTCATATTAAAGGTAAAACTGTGCAAATAGTGATAACGCATAGTTGGCAATGATAGTTATTAAACCAGGTGTTCGTCCTTGGAAAGTCTAATCTCTAAGCACTGCTCAGAATATAGCTTCAGAGATGGTATTTATCCATTGGGGTGACCACTTAATTTTGAGGGACAGAAAAGATGCAAATTAGGCAGATAAAACTGGAAACACATATAGCATTTTAATAAGTTGTAGTGAACAAGAGCTTCCATTTTGGCTCTAATCTCTTTGAAGGGGCTTGGAAGTTAGACGACAAAGCAAGGCCTGTGGTCCCCCAGCCAGACAATGCCAGTGTTCCTTCCTCTGTGCCCTGCTGCCTGGAGGTTAAGAGAGTAGTGACAACGGTATGTTTGTTTAGAGGATTGGGGGCTGCACGGTGGGGAAGTCACAGATTTTAAAGTAAGCACTTAAGGGGAAATTTCTATAAAGCCAAGTGTCAAAATTATTCCTAAACCTAAACCCTCAGAATCAGAAACCAAAATTAACGTCATCAGCTTCTCTTTGCTTTTGGCTGTGACCTTTTTGTACCCCAGCGCCATAGAAGGCCCAGGTGTCATCAGAAGAATAAGAAAAGTAGATAATAGGAGTTAAAAAAAAGAACTGGAGTCTTATTTTCTTTCTTCGGCACACTCTCCTTTTCGTGGTGGGAATGGGGGTGTGTGTCCGAACATGTTTATTTAAATGTACATTTGGGCCAGGCACGGTGGCTCACGCCTGTAATCCCAGCACTTTGGGAGGCCGAGGTGGGTGGATCAGGAGGTCAGGAGATCGAGACCATCCTGGCTAACACAGTGAAACCCCATCTCTACTAAAAATACAAAAAATTAACCAGGTGTGGTGGCAGGTGCCTGTAGACCCAGCTACTCGAGAAGCTGAGGCAGGAGAATCCCTTGAACCCAGGAGGCAGAGGTTGCAGTGAGCAGAGATCGCGCCACTGCACTCCAGCCTGGGCGACGGAGCAAGACTCCAGCCTGACTGACGGAGTGAGACTCCATCTCAAAAAAAAAAAAAAGTACATTTGATGGAACCACTCCGTCGTTTGGTTATGTTTATTGTGTTTGTCTAGAAGTGAAGGTTATCAGGGAAATTATCCCTTCTTGAATGCCTGCATGTTATTATTCTCTCCAGTGTTCAGAGGAGGAAACTGAGTCTTCTAATGATAAAGTTCGTTGTCCAGCGTCACCAGCTGGTTAGTAGCTAAACCAGGATTTAAACCCAGGTTTTCCCTGAAGCCGAGCTCTGTTTTACACCAAAATAGCTCTTCTGGGCACCAAGGCAGGCACAACGGAGTTCCCTGCTGCCAGCATTAATGTGGGTATAAATGAGTTAACACTGAACACTGCTTCTGGGGCATGCGATGTAGCCGATTAGATTCTCCGCGGACTCTGAGTCCAGAGGCTAGGAGTCTTTGTTTTGTCACTGATAAATGATCTGCGGGCTCTTAATCCTGATTCTATATTCCTCATTTGTAAAGCTGTTGGCATATTTGCACTGAGCAGATCGCTCTCTCTGCCAGCTTAGCTTCACGTGGCAATTTGGGATTTTTTTTTTTCTTTAAGATTTTATAACGCCGAGAGTAAAATGGGAATGTTTTCATAAATGCTTAAGCATCTTTAGTGAAGCTAATTTATAGAATTTAAATGTTCCTCTCCGGCAGTTTTAAACTCAAATTTCTCAGCGGTGGTTGGGGGGTTGGGGCCAAGAAACAGGAAACTGCTCTGTTTCACTGTTCATACTCAACAATAAAAAATTAAACGGCCTAAAAAGTGCAAGCTAGAGAGAATTTTTTTCAGACGTACCCTCCTCTGAATTGGAGTGATGGTGATAAAGGCAAAAATGGGATTCTTCTCTTTTCCGGGTCCCCCGGCCCTCCTTGGCAGGGGCCTGGCGGCCACACCTTAAATTTCTGGGGTGACTCAGCCCCTGTGGCACAGTGCTAGGCATGACACCCAGCACCTTACTCAAGTCACCTTTGCCAGCGGCTTGCCTCCCAGCCCCTCCCTTGGGAGCATGCTTTGGCAATGGCGTGACTGGGTGATGAAGAACCTAAACTGGATTGTGCAACCTTGCGAGGTTGTGTAACCACCACGGCTGCACTTATTGCACAGTCGGCTAGAGAGCTTAGCGCACAGCCAGAGTCTGCAGTGAGGTTCCCATGGTAAGATTTTTTTGGGAGCCACTTTCTGCTTCTATTTTACATCCCGTCCTTGTTTTAGCACCTGTTTTTGTTGCCAGAAGATGAGATGGCATGAAGTCTGTCTTCCTCTCTCTTCTTATATGGAACCAGGTGGTGTATACATAAGTAGATATTTAATATATCAAAAGGGGAGGCCTTTCTCCTCACTTCTCGTTTATGGCTTTGGGAGTTCAAAAGCCTCCTTTTTTCTCTCAGCCCTAACCAAACACAAAAGATACTCAATTTTCTCTCTGGATGTGCTGATTCAGCTTTTTTTTTTTTTTTTTTTTTTTAACTGTGCATAGTGGACACCCTCCTAGCCTTCAGCTCAAGAGATTGCGGACTGTATAATAATAGAAGTAATATGGCCGGACTCGGTGGTTCACGCCTGTAATCCCAGCACTTTGGGAGGCCGAGGTGGGCAGATCACGAGGTCAGGAGATTGAGATCATCCTGGCTATCACGGTGAAACCCCGTCTCTACTAAAAAAATACAAAACCATTAGCCGGGCATGGTGGCGGGCGCCTGTAGTCCCAGCTACTCAGGAGGCTGAAGCAGGAGAATCACTCAAACCCAGGAGGCGGAGGTTGCAGTGAGCTTAGATCGTGCCACTGCACTCCAGCCTGGGCGACAGAGTGAGGCTCCACCTCAAAAAATAATAATAATAATAATAGAAGTAATAATGGAAGTAATATAACAGCTAACATTTAATAAGTGCTTATGCTGTGCCCAGTGCCATATAATAGATACCTATCCCTTAATTCTCACAATCCTGAGATAAGTGTTATAATCATCTTCCCATTTTACTGGTGAGAAAACTGAGGCTCAGAAAGATTCTGTAATTTATCCAAGGCCACACTGTTTGTAAGTGGCATGACAAGGCGAGCACCCTGGTCCATGTCATGCGTATCTCACGTGTCTCGCTGAGCAGAAGCTCAGCTTTCCAGATTGCCTATGGTGGAAAGGAAAGACATTCCTTAGGCTAGCCTCTAGGCTAACAAGGTTTATCTCATTACATTAAATAACCGTATACTTGAAAATCATTCTTAGTCCAGGATAAGGTAGGCTACACTGCAGCAATCAACCCAAAGTATTAGTGGCTTAGCATAGCAAAGGTTTATTGCGGACTCTTGCAAAATCTAATGTGAAAGTCCAGGCTGGATGGAAGGGCATGTGTTGATGTTTCAGCTGATGGTCCCAGCTGAGTCCAGCCTCAGAGTTGTCCCGTCCCAGACCCCAGGCATATGAGGGAAGAAGTTTCCAGGCAATTTCTTTTTCTTTATTTTTTTTCTTTTGAGATGGAGTTTCACTCTTGTTGCCCAGGCTGGAGTGCAGTGGTGTGATTTCAGCTCACTGCAACCTCCACCTCCTGGGTTCAAGTGATTCTCCTGCTTCAGTCTCCCGAGTAGCTGGCATTACAGGCGTGCGCCACCATGCCTGGCTAATTTTTTGTATTTTTAGCAGAGACGGGGTTTCATCATGTTGGCCAGGTTGGTCTTGAACTCCTGACCTCAGATAATCCACCTGCTTCGGCCTCCCAGAGTGCTGGGATTACATGCATGAGCCACCGCACCCAGCCTTTCCAGGCTATTTTTGCTTCTAACATTTCAAGTCACCTGCAGCTATTCATGTTGTTATGGGCTGTTTGTGTACCCCCAAAATGCATATGTCAGACCCCTAATCCCCAAAATGATAGTATTTGGAGATGGGACCTTTAAGAGGTGATTAGGGTTAGATAAGGCCATGACGGGGTGTAGGGGAGACCCGGTTTGATAAAATCAGTGTCTTAATGAGAAGAGACAGCAAAGAGCTCCTTCCTCTCTCTCAACTGTATGAGGACAGAGTAAGAAGGGGGCCCCCTGTAAGCCAGAAGGAGAGCCCTCGCCAGAAACCAAATGGGCTGCCACCTTGATCATGAACTTCCCAGGAGCCAGAACAGTAAGAAAATAAATTTCTGTTGTTTAAGCCACCCATTCTATGACAGCCATAGTTAGGGCAGCCAGGCCAGGCCAGGCATGGTGGCTCACACCTGTAATCTCAGCACTTTGGGAGCCTGAGGTGAAAGGATCACATCAACCCAGGATTTCAAGGCAGCCCAGGCAACAGAGTGGGACACCCACCTATACAGAATATAATAATAATAATTAGCCGGGTGTTGTGGCACACACCTGTAGTCCCATCTACTCGGAAGGCTGAGGCAGGGGGATCACTGGGGATCACTTGAGGCCGGGAGGTCAAGGCTTCAGTGAGCCATGATAGTGCCACTCACTGTACTCTAGCCTGGGTGACAAGAGTGAGACCCTGTCTTAAATAAAATATGTAAATCAATAAGTCAATAACAACATAGTTATGGCAGCAAAAGCAGAGTAATACACACATTTTTTTCCCAGCTGAGGCTCCAGATATCATGGAATTAGACAAGACATCCCACTTTGTCCTGTTGGAACTCCTGGCCCACAGAATGCATGAGCCTATTACAATGGTTGCTGTTTTGAGGATGGTTATTTATGAAACCACAGATAACCTACACACACAATAGATTTGCACACACCACAGGCTATAACTTTCATTCATTCAACAAATATTTACTGAACACATATTAGGAGCCAGACACTATTCTGAGCATGTATCAGTGAACAGAACAGGTAAAGACCTGTCCTCCTACTGCTTATATTGTGTAGGGATAAAAATTGCTGTTTTTAAAAATAATCATTTTAAGTATATTTTTCTAGTTACAAAAGTAACACTTGCTCATTCAATGCATTTGAGAAATACAAAAAGATACTTTGAAAACGCACAAAAAATAATCATTATGCAGAAATAATGCATTGCTAATATTATTTTATTATCTGACAATCACAGGCACACATAGATGAACAAACATACTCTTTAAACTGGAGTCACACTTTATATTCAGTTTTATATCCTGTTTTTATTTTTATTTTTATTTTTTTTATTTTTTTTTTTGAGACGGTGTCTCGCTCTGTCACCCAGGCTGGAGTGCAGTGGCGCAATCTCGGCTCACTGCAAGCTCCGCCTCCCGGGTTCACGCCATTCTCCTGCCTCAGCCTCCCGAGTAGCTGGAACTACAGGCGCCCGCCACTACGCCCGGCTAATTTTTTTTTTTTTTTGTATTTTTAGTAGAGACGGGGTTTCACCGTGGTCTCGATCTCCTGACCTCATGATCCACCCGCCTCGGCCTCCCAAAGTGCTGGGATTACAGGCGTGAGCCACCGCACCCGGCCTTTATATCCTGTTTTTATTTCACTTAGTTATTGCAGACCTTTTCTCATGTCATTGAAATATGATTTTTAATGGTTGCATATTGTTCCAGCCTGTAGCAATACGAATTATTTAACCATCCTGCAATTATTTTACATTTCAGTTGATTCCAATTTTGCACTGTGATAAGCAACGTCTTGAAGAACAACTTCGTACATGAATCTTCGGCTGCATCTCTGATTAGTTCCTTAGAATATAATCAGAGAAGTGGGATTACTGGTTCAAAGGATATGCAAATATTCAAGCTCTTCATAAATATTGTCAGATTACTTTCCAGAATGTTAGCTCCAATTTACATTCTCACCTGTATTTTATAAGATGCCTCTCTGGTATTCTTGCCAATATTCAGTATTAGAGTGTTCGTAATCTTTGCCAATTTGTTGCATTAAAGAATGGTATTTCATTTTAAGACTGGTTGACTGCCTAGGTCGCTCAATAATTATTGGGATTTGCCTAAATCTGAGTATTTAAACCCTAGCTCTGGCGCCTTCTAAGAAAATACATAACCTCTCTAAGCCTCAGGTTTCTTTGTCTACCAAATGGTAACATTTATCCTGACTTCTTAAGTTATTGTGTGGATTAAATATGTTCAAGTTTATAAAGTGTTTAACACCGAGCCTGTCAAATGGTAGCTATTATCACAGGTGTGACAATTTAGAAATTATCAACACATGAATAATTCCAAACTTTGCTCTTTCCTGTGTGTGTTAAAGAAGATCCTGATTTTGCTTAATCATATTGCTCTTCCTTCTCTCTCCTTTGAAGGAGAAGCTTGCCATGCTTTGGGGCTTTGTGAATTAGAATTAGGTGGAATGAGAAAGAGAAGAACAGGAAGACACACTGACCATTGACAGACCACCCAAAACCCAGTGGCTAACAACAAACGTTATTCTGCTGCACATGGGTCTGCTGTTGGCTACAGTTAGACTGACTGTGTCTGGGCTGGGCTCAGCTGGGTGGTTCTGCATCAGGCTGTGGGCTGACTGGATTGGATCCAAGCTGTGAATAGGTTCATGTCTGCCCCATGTATGCATGGTTTGGGACACATATGAATAGAGCAGAAAATACCCAGGGCATATTCTCATGGTAGATTACCAGAGCATAAGAGGTCAGACCAAAACCCACAAGCAAATTTAAGACCTCTGCGATGTTAGATCTGCTAATATTCCTTTGGCCAAAGCAAGTCACATGGCTTAGCCCAACATCGGTGGGCTGCAAAGTCTCTTCTTCCCACAGTGGGAGGTGGAAAGAAAGTGAATATTTGCTGAACAAAAGATCATAATAAATGTTTCCAGAAATTTGCAGGAAGAGGCTACATACACTACAGTGTAAGAAAACTGAGAAAAGTGATTATGAAATATGTTGGGTATGTGTAGGACTTTACAAATCAGGTTCCTCTTAATTTCTGGAAGACTCCAATTAAAAACTTCATGTAAGTTATTTTTTGTCCGTTTAGACTGGAATTTATTAGAGACGACTTCCCCTCAGGACTGATCTTATGGTGTAATGACTTCGATAGGGTTATGTAATGGAAACCATATTATCTTTTTGATTGCCACAACCCTTCACAGTTCTTCCTCTTTGGGTATGTTAGATCTTTCAAACATATCCTAATGGTTCTCTTTTTTTTTTTTTCTTCTCCGAGAAGAAAAATTATGGGTGTCAGCTTCCTGATTGTGATTTACCAACTAGAGGCACAGTCTCTGCAGGAAATATGTCAGCTGTCTCATTCCTATCTTATTTAAAGTAGGACAGACACCAAGCTTGAGAAAACTTGGACAGGAGGACTCAGAGGTAGAAAATGCAAGCAAACATGTCAGTTTCAGTCATGACTCACAAGCTCCAAATTCACTTATGGAATCATTTGGTGAAATCAAATTGATAGTGAGAACAGGGTGCAGCAATGATCAGAAGGAGCCCAAAGAGCTCTAATGTCATTTTCGCAGCCTTTATTCTTGGTGTCTCCCTGAAGACCATTTACTTGGAACCTAGACAGGAGACTAAAGTCTGTGATCTCTGGGTTTGCTTAGCTCTGTAGACAGCTGGTACATCACATACAAAATATTACCCCACGCTCTCATAGTGTGATGAGTTGTTAATAAATCCATTCCAAATTCTTGGTTCTCATTCCTCTGAATGTAGATAGACTGGCTGAATATGGATATATCAGCTCTGCTTATCACTCTAAATGTCATCTGTCTTTAACTTTATCCAAAACAGTTTTATTTTGCTTCAGAGAAAGCAGTGTTCTCAACTTCTTGAAAATCCAAGCCAAGAAGAATCATAGAATGAAGAATTATGCTAAATATTTGGTCCTCAGCCTTCCTGGAGCTGTGGCATGAAGCATCAGTGGCCTCAATATGTGTTGGGTTTTCCTCGGAATAATGAATAACACGTGTGCTTTAAAAAATGTATGTACATTTGAGAGTTTTGGCATAGGGAACTGTCCATAATTCTGTCTCCTCAAGTCATTACAAGACATTTTCCTGTCTTTCCATATTTCCACAAAGAGAGAGTGAGTGTATAAAAAATTCCCTAATATTGTTTCTGCCTCGCTCTCACCCTGTCCCCAAATAGTTGCTTTTTATGGTTTGCTTTCTTTCTGAAGTCCCAGTATAGGCGATATTTTAACATGGTTTAAAGCCTAGACTAAGGATTTGGACAACACAGTTTGAATCTTCAGCCATTTCCTAACTCTGCAACTTTTAATAAGATACAGATTCTTCTTCTGAAAATGAGAAAAATAATAGGTGCTACCTTGGCCTCCCAAAGTGCTGGGATTACAGTTCTAATGATGGACAGCAGTGTAGGGTTGAAGTAGGAGGTGGGACTCAACTCCAGAGGCGGGGCTCGGACACCAACCAGACTGGGGACTCGCTAAAACAGGGCCGAGGTGGGAGCAGCTTTCCAATGAGACACACTCACCAGTGTGCCATGTCAGTTTACCACTGCTATGGAAACACCCAGGAGTGATTGCCCCTTTCTGTGGTAATGACCCGATGACCCAAAAGCTACTACTCCTTCCCTAGAAATGTCTGCATAAATCGCCCCTTAATCTGCGTGTTATTATGTGGGTGAGTATAAATGTGATGCAAAACTGCTCTGAGTTGCTACTCTCGGCCTACAGGGCAGCCCTGTTCTGCAGGAGCAGTCACGGAGCAGTAACACCACCAGTGCTGTAACACTGCTGCCTCAATAAAGCTCTTTTCTTCTACCCCTGGCTTGCCCTTGAATTCTTTCCTGGGCAAAATCAAGAACCCCCGAGGGCTAAGCCCCACTTTGGGGCTCGCCTGCCCTGCATCAGGGTGACCATAGTTAACAACAATGATATATTTCAAGGTAGCTAGAAGAGAGGACTTGAACTGTTCCCAGCACATAGAAATGATAGATACACAAGGTGATACATATGCCAATAACCCTAACTTCATCATTACACATTCCATGCATGTAATAAAATATCACATGTACCCCACACATATATAAAATATTATGTATCAATGTAAAAAAGTAGCATGCATGCTCCCCCCACCAAAGAATTGAGCAAATGAATAAATGAATGAATGGTAGTTATTTGCTATTTTCCAGTAGTTGTAATCAGAAATGATATTCAAAAGACGAGGCATCAACTAGTTGCATGAGGCTTTAATCCTAAATGGTCACTGCATCAGGGAGCTCCAGGGGCAGCTGGGGTGATATGGGAGGCACCCGGGGGGGTCAGCCCCCAACTGGTCCGGAGGTGTTTTATTATTCGACAGTTGGCTGGCTGTATTGGTGTGCTCTGTCTGAATGTCAGCCCTGCTTGTCAACACTGGCAATAGGTCTTCCACACTCTTTCCCAATCCCTTTTTGATCCCAAACACCAGCATTGGCAGGATGACTGAGTGGGATGAAGGTTCTAGCCAGTGACCATAGAACTTTTTTCCTCCTCAGTGCAAAGCCAACTGGCCCACATCAGTATCGACTTCAACTTTGTCTTCTTTGGCCCTGCACTGTGAGATTTGAGCCACTGGCCTATGCAGCCAGCTTCTAGTATTACCACTGCCTGATCTTTTTCTACCTTGGAAATTTTCATTGTAACCACTCCATATTTTTGCTATGATCAGGCTTATAATGATAAGGCAGGGACTTGAACATTGCAGGGTGGGTTGGCACACCTCTTCAGATGGACTAGCTAGGGCACATGTCCTCCTTCCAATTTTCTCTTAAGTTGAATCACTCCTCTGGCTTGGCCAGGAGGATACCAGCTTTGCCAAGGTGACTTTATTATGTGTATCCTGGTACACATTCCCTTTTGTGTATGTAGCTCTGTTTCCTGGCATCATTATTTTTGGTAGGGTTGGGGTTGACTTCTGGCTATGTGCTATCTTTCCAGCTGAAGTGTTTTGTTCCTCCACTTCGACATTCCATGAAGCCTTGTGAAAACACTTGTCCTCTTGTCGGAAGGTTGTTTGTAGGGGGTTATATTGCCCTAAACTTTTCCTTCCAGGCCATGGTGCGATCCACAGGACTGAGACGAGCTGCAGCTCTGCTGCTCATTCACTGCAGGACTTAGGGCTTAAAACTTGATTTCTCTGAGCCTTTATTATCACAACTGTAAAGTGGAGATAAGGAGAGAACAAAAGAGATAATGTGAATCGAAGTATAAAGCAATTGAAGGTAGTCATTCATTCTACCACGCATCAGCCATAGTTCCCAACCGTAGGGAGCTATGGATTGATGGGGGAAATAACACATTAATACTCAATTAAGATACAGATTCAGAAGTCCTACAAACAGGGATAAATGCAAGGTGTTATAAAAGCACATGGGAACAGGGCTGAACTCAGTCTTGAGGGGTTAGAAAAAGCATAGAAAGAGTAGGAATTATTAATAGTAATGATAGTTAAAATTAGTGGGGTGCTTACAATTCACAATTGCAAAAATATGGAACCAGCCCAAATGCCCATCAATGAATGAGTGGATAAAGAAATTGTGGTATATGTATACCATGGAATACTGCTCAGCCATAAAAAGGAAAGAAATAATGGCATTCACAGCAACCTGGATGGAATTGAGACATTATTCTAAGTGAGGTAGCTCAGGAATGAAAAACCAAATATTGCGTGTTCTCACTCATAAGTGAGAGCTAAACTATGAGGATGCAAAGGCATAAGAATGATAGAAAGGACTCTGGGGACTCAGGGGAAAGGGTGGGAGGGGGATGAGGGATAAAAGACTACAAATTGGGAACAGTGTATACTGCTCAGGTGATGGGTGCACCAACATCTCAGAAATTACCACTAAATAACATTCATGTAACCAAACACCACCTGTTCCCCCAAAACCTATGGAAATAAAAAATAAATGAATAAAAAAATAGTGGGATGCTTACTGTGTGCCAAGTAGTATGCTAAGCATGATCTCATTTAGCTCTCACAAAGTGTGCCTATCTCATAGAGGTTTTAACTCTCATTTTATAATCAGAGAAACTGGTCCAAAAAGCTTCAGTAAGTTGCCCAAGGACACACAACTAGGTGGCATGGTCAGATTTGAATTTAAGTTGAATTCCAGAACCCTTGCTTTTAACCGCTATGCAAATCTGTTCATGCCATGCCCCTGCTTAAAACTGACCATTTGTGGCCAGGCGTGGTGGCTCACGCCTGTAATCCCAGCACTTTGGGAGGCCGAGGTGGGTGGATCACCAGAGGTCAGGAGTTCGAGACCAGTCTGGCCAACATGGTGAAATCATGTCTCTACTAAAAATACAAAAATTAGCTGGGCGTGGTGGCACACACCTGTAATCCCAGTTACTCAGGAGGCTGGGGCAGAAGAATCACTTGAACCCAGGAGGCAGAGGTTGCAGTGAGCTGAGATCACATGCCATTGCACTCCAGCCTGGATGACAAGAGCAAAAACTCCGTTTCAAAAAAAAAGACAACAGGAAAAAACCCTGAGCATTTGTGACTTTCCATTGCTCATAGCATAATGACTAAACTCCTTTACGTCCCTAAAACTTTCCTGCCCAACCCTCTGGTCTTACTCTTCATCCTTTTCTCTGCCCCCTACCCCATGGTCATCAGCCTCAGCAGCAGATCATAAAGGATATACTCAGCTAAGGAGTCTGAGCTTGTCCTATCACCAACAGGGAGCCATGGAGCTTTTAAGCAGGTTGAACAGGAGTAAGACAAGACCTGAAAAAGCCAGTGAGGAGGCTGTTGAAATAACCCAGGCACAGGTACATGGGGGTGTGAACTAAGGGAAAGAAAGAGTGAGGGAGAGGGAGAGGGGTGAATTGGATTTAAGAGACATTAGCTTATGGAATCTACAAATCTTGGTGACTGATGATGCAGGGGAGTCCAGCAGAGCGAGGACTCTAGGCTTATACCCACAGTTCTAGCTTAGACGACAAGGTAGAGGGCACTAGCTATTTTTGAGGAGCTGCTATCAATGCCTAACAAAAGCCAACAATACTCATGATTCTGCGTTTTCACTACGTGTATGTTGCAAGGCCCTGAAAGCTGTAAGATAGTTTCCTTTCCCTGTCCCTTTTGTTCACTCCCTTCCACACTGAGTGTGGGAATTCACTGAAAGCTCAGCAAAACCCATCACCTCTGCCACACCCCCGCCCCCCGCCTAAGTTGACTACAAACCCACACATCAGACCCAGGTTAGCAATCTAACAGTGCCTGAAATTAAGTGTTTAAACATTAAAACCAATCAAGCCCAAAGAACCTAACTTGAAATGAAGAGGTGTTTAAAAGAAGTAGGCTAAGGTACACCGAGAAAAACAACTTAAATTATTAAAGTGGAGTTTTCACCATGCAGGAAAAATGTTTCAATAATGTCAGATTAAAAATGTAAATCTATTTACCTTCCAGATGGGTTTTATGAGAGCTCTTATTAAAATCAGCTGCCTACCTGTTTGTGAAAGAGAATTTGTTACTTAGGGAAGGTAGTCAGACCCAGGCATGCTGGAATCATTTTCTCACATTTGTCGCTGACTGAATAGCTCCTGTGACTTCTGCTTTGTCAGTTAATTACTGTGTAAACTTTCCCACTGAAAACAGAGGCTTATTCAGTGTTGTGGTTTTTTTTTTTTTTTCTGTTTTTTTGTTTGTTTGTTTTTTGAGACGAAGTCTCGAAGTCTCGCTCTGTTGCCCAGGCAGGAATGCAGCGGTATGATCTCGGCTCACTGCAACCTCTGCCTCCCGGATTCAAGCGATTCTCATGCCTCAGCCATCCAAGTAGCTGGGATTACAGGTGTGCGCCACCATGCCCAGCTAATTTTTGTATTTTTAGTAAAGATGGGGGTTTCATCATGTTGGCCAGGCTGGTCTCGAATGCCTGACCTCAAGTGATCCAACCATCTTGGCCTCTCAAAGTGCTGGGATTACAGGGATGAGCCACTGCACCCGGCCTCAGTGTTGTGTTTTTTTCTGAATCCAAGTGACAAATGTTCATGTTGTCCAAAGCGGATTTCTTCCAATTCATTTATCGCCTTCCTCTTGACCCTGTAGTGCATTTGTAATTCCGAAATTATGACATTAATATCACTTCCATATCAATGAACTTTGTGTCTAGGTTATATGGTTAAGAGAGCTTTGAGACAGAATTAGTCAGATGGAGAAACTAGGAGGGAAAAAAAGTCCTTCATAAGTCAGTGATGGACAAGAAGACTTATTTTCAACTATGATGCAAGAAACTCTAAAGGGTCATGTGTTCATTCATGAAATAAAATATTATCTATATCAGTTCTGTGTAATAGAAATATGTTGTGAGCCCCCTATGGAAGCCATAAATGAAATTTAAAATTGTCTAGGAGCCACATAATAAAAGCGAAAAAAGGTAAGTGATAATTTTAACATTGTTTTAGTTAATTCTATATATTCCAATACTGTATTTCAATATGTGATCAATGTAAATCCTACTGAGATCTTTTACATTCTTTTTTGTATTAAGTGTTTGAAATCCAGTTTGCATTCTATAGTTAGAGCATATCACAGTTGAGGACAGCCACATCTCAAATGCTCAATGTCAGAAGTAGCTCATGACTACAGTACTGCATTCTGCAGATCTATGCAGTTCAGTGACAGCTTTCCTCATCAAATTGATAGACCAAGAATAGGTTTATACATGTAATAAATCTACCACCTTTTTTTTTCCAGTTGAGAAAGAAAATGAAATGTGACTATGGGAAAACCTGGCCAAAATTTATATTATATGCCCTTACATTATATGCTCTTATGACACTATGTGATGTGGTCATTTGTTAATTTAATACTCATCCACATCTCAATTATACTGTGAGCTCCCTAAGGACAGGGAATTGGTTTTGTTCACTGCAGAAATCCAGAGCCCACAACAGTGTCTGGCACAGAGTGCCAGACAATAACTGTTTGTCAGATAAATAAAGGAATGAGAAGGAGTCCTTTTGCTTCATACAACAACCCTACAAGGTGGGAACAGTTCTTATGTTCATTTCACAGGAAATTGAGACTCAGAGATAAACTGAGTTTCTCAGCCATACATAGCTAGGAAGTAGTGGGACCCAGGAGCCCAGGTATATCAAGCCACCTCAAAGCCCATTCTCTTAGTTACCTGAGTCTGTGGCCTCCTGCTTTTATATTGGGGGTAGAAACTGTGTGTGCATGTGTGTATGTGTGTGTGTGTGTGTGTGTGTGTGTGTGTGTGTGAGATGTATTTGTGAGGGACTCAGTGATCTTCCACCAGGCAGCTTCTCAGTAGGCAGTTTCCACCACCCACTATAATTTGGAGTAGAGTAAGCCTTCCTTGGCTGAATCCTCAAGTGAATTTCTATTTTCTTCTCTTATTGGAGAGAAGAATGAAAATCGGATGAAGGGAAGAGAGAGCAGAGAACAAGAAATATGGAACCATAGAAACCATGAGTCACAGAAGTGACTGGGGGAGTCGAACGTCTCCAATTATCTCTGCTTCTTATGAAGTGAATGAAGCTAAGGCAGACTTGGTGTCAGTAAACTTTTTGTAGGTAAGGTTTTTTTTTTCCTTGGTCCTTCTAGTGTCTCTGCTCCTTTTATCTTCTTGTCAGTTGCCACATGTTCCTACTCTTATTCAAGTTTAAATATTTTTTTTGAAAGTTTGAAAGGTCTGCGTCTTAGGTGCTTTGTGAGAGAGGTAATGATATTGACGATTAAAAAAAAACCTGTGATAACAAAACTAACATATATTGAGTGCTTACTATGTACTAGGCAAAATTCTAAGTGTTTCCCATGTACTAACTTATTTAAAAGATCCTATGGAACCATTAAGTCAACCCTATGGATGACCTTAAAGGCAGATATACTAGTTATCTATTACTGCATGTGAATTATCCTGAAAGTCAGTGGCTTAGAACAGGAATGAACATTTATTACATCTGCCAGTTTCTGTGTATCAGGAATTTGGGGGTATCTGGGGGTTTTATTCCAGCTCACCGAAAGGTCAATCATATGTTAGCCAAGGGTACAGTCATCCAAAGACTTTACTGGGGCTGGAGGATCTGCTCCCAAGATGGTTCACTCCAAGGCTGGCAAGAGAGCAGGAAGCTCAGTTTCTTCCCACATAGACATATCCACAGGGGTGCTCGAGTGTCCTTACAACATGGTGGCTGGCTTCCCCCAAGACAAGTGATCAAAGAGAACAAAGAAGAAACTGCTATGTCCTTTTTGACTCAGTCTTGGAGTTACCTACTGTCACTTCCACAATATCCATTGGTCACATATGGCAGCCCCATTCAGTGTGGAAGGACACTGCACAAAGGCATGGATGCTAGAAGGTGAGAATCTTTGAGAGCCATCTCAGAAGCTAGCTTCCACAACAATTGCCTTGTAGTGTGTACCACGACCACACAAAAGCTAATGTTTCTCGAGCAATTACTATGTGCAAGGTATCATGCCAGATACTTTATATATGTTATCTGTTTAAATCCTGGACAGCAACCCTAAGATCCAGGTGATACTGTAATCCCCATTTTACAGATAAGGAAACTAGGACTCAGAGAGGCTAATAACTTGCACAAGGTCACAGAGCTAGTTTGTGGCAAGTGAAATGAGCATAGGAGCACATCTCAGACACACCACAAGTTCAGTTTATGCTATTTTCACCTGTAATGTTGCAGAGGCTGCTGTGGGGAGTAAATGAGAAAATGTTTGCAAATTACAGAGCATTGTATGGAGGCCCACAGAGAGACGACATTCTTTCTTCCCTCCTTCAGCAATGTGAAACCGTGTCAGAAGCACACATGCATGGTCAGAGTGTCTCTTGGTAAATAAGAGACATAAAGCACTTTGTTTTTTATTTTTATTAAACCAATCTTAAAAAAGATTGATTGGCTCCATAGACCTAAACGATTAGCACTGAAACCTCTCACATTTCCTGGAAACTGAATGTTTTGCGCTTGGAATTCTAAAGAACTGGGAAAAAGGAGAGTAATAAAGTATAAAGAATAGTTTCATCTCCTACCCAGCTTATACGGTGAGGAGGAGGTTGGCAGTGATTTAGTATAAGTATAAAAACAACAGTCGGGCCGGGCACGGTGGCTCACACCTGTAATCCCAGCACTTTGGGAGGCCGAGATGGGCGGATCACGAGGTCAGGAGATCGAGACCAGCCTGGCCAACATGGTGAAACCCCCGTTTCTACTAAAAATACAAAAATTAGCTGGGCATGGTGGCGGGTGCTTGTAGTCCCAGCTACTTGGGAGGCTGAGGCAGGAGAATCCCTGGAACTCGGGAGGCGGAGGTTGCAGTGAGCCAAAATGTGCCACTGCACCCAGCCTGGGCAACAGAGTGAGACTCTGTTTCATAAATAAATAAATAGATAAATAAATAAATAAATACAACAGTTGACCTTAAATAAGGTTTTACATTAGTCCAAATGATTTCAAAGACATTAATATATTTATATTTAAAAGTGTGTGTGCCTGTGTGTATGTGAGAGAGAGAGAACGAGAGAGAGAGTCAGAGTCAAACTTGCAAAGTAAGGAAGTTGATGTGTCCAAAGAAACCTAAGGAAATAAGAACTATAGCAGTGGGTCAGTTGCATTATCTTTCCGTATCCCTAATGTTTGGAGGCAAATGAGCAGCTGTAGGAGAAATTATTTGCTTATTTGCCTCCTCAGATATTATTATCAAAGGCAGGAGGCCTCTTCCCAACAAGCTTCCCGGAACAATGCACATACCCACATGCACAGGACATTTTGCATAAAATTTTAAGGGCTTTAAAATTCTTTGAAGCCCATGGGACGATCTCCATAATATTCATCAATCCCAGGATAAAAGCCCCGAATGCCAAATCATTTAGATAATTGATTTATATTTTCCATGTGTACTATGAACTATGGAACTTAACCTTTCCTCCCTCACATCACATTTTCTCATTACCTTGAACAATCATTGGTATTTTTAAATTTTGACCTGATCCTTTTTAGCCTTTATGTTTCCAGACTACAGCACGCAATTACAGAGTAAAGTAATTGAATCTTAACACCCTTGAGGGTGTCTCCAGGGCATCCCAAAATCTGACGCAGGCATCCCTTTTATAACTGCCCCTGTACCCATACCTTCCCCTTTCTTTCAGCCAGGTGGAGTTTGTGTAAATAAACTCAACCCTTTTGAGGGGTGGATTTTAGGGATGCAGTTCTATTGTTTTGACAAATGTATACAGTTGTGTAACTACCTCTATAATCAAGATTAGAACAGTCCCACTGCCCCCAAAAGTTTTAATTTATTGATCCATTTATCAATTGATGGACACTTGAGTTGTTTCCAGTTTTTGGCAATTATTTGCGTTAGTCTTTTGCTTTTTTTGGGTGGGGGATCAGAGAGAGTGGAGCACAGAAGTGTCATCCCCTTCTTCCACCATCTAAGTCTTTTGGGGCTTTTCACCAGTGCCCTCTGGAAGCAAGTGCATTGGTGCAGCTATATTTTTTGCATTTGGGTATCTGCCTTTCATGACCTTTTCCTTTTTTTAATTTTATTTTTTCCAAATTGGGTCCCAAACGTTCAACAGGTCAAGGTGGACACTATGCAGACAAAATAACTCATGTGGTCCACGCTGTGTGCATGGTAGGTGTCAGCTGCTCTTACCGGTGGCTCCCGGATCATCAGCCTTGGAATCAGCCACCATGTTGTTAAAAATGCAGAATCTCAGGCTCCACGCCAGATCTACTGAACCAGAGTCAGTATTTTAACAAGATCGTCAAGTGTGCCGGATGCATATTAAAGTTTGAGAAGCACTGGTATTCCACACTCGCTACTAAAAATATACTACAATTTTCTCATAAGATTTGACCCTTTATTTTAACTTTTTCTCTCTCGGTAGTAAACTCACTTTGTAGTTTGAGTAAAGAACTCAAGTTTTGGTCTGGGCGCTGCATCTCGCTGGGTGTGGAAGCAAAGGCAGAAATGAGAGGGACAAAAGGAAGCAGAGAACAGAGCCCAGGCTGTTAGAAGATCCTCGCGGCCAGACCTGGGAGGCTGAAAGGCTGAGAGACCGAAAGGCTGAACCCTCCGCCGCGCTCGGCGGCCCCTCGGAGTCAGGACACCCAGGGTAACATGCGGGTGGCCACGCGCAGCCCAGGCGCTTGCAAAACTTAGCGGAGCCGGGCCGGGGCCGGGCCCGGGGAAGGCGGGAGGGAGGAGGGCCAGGCGGGAGGGCGGGGACGGCGCGGCGAGGGGCGGGGTCAGCGCCGAGGCCGCGGGGGCAGCAACGACGCCGGGCAGCGGGAGCGGCGGCCGCGCCATGTGGCTGCTGGGGCCGCTGTGCCTGCTGCTGAGCAGCGCCGCGGGTGAGTCGGGGGGCGGCCGGCGAACTTCCCGCGGGGCGCGGGGCGCGGGGCGCGGGGCGCAGCGGCCGGGTGCGATCGCGTCCTCTCCCGGGCGCGGGCCGCTCTCCGGGCGTGGGTGAGCGCGGAGGGCGGACCCCGGCGCCGGGCTGGCCCGGACCCTGCCGAGGGGCCGCCGCGGGGTGCGAGCCGTCCTATTGTGTGGGCGTGCGCGCCGGGTCGTGTTGTGCTGTGTGCGCGGGCGGGGCTCTGTGTGCAGTCCGGGTCTGGGGAGCCCGGCGGCTGCCCCGATTGGGCGTAGCTCGAGTGTGGCTGTGTGTGTGTTGTGTGTGTTGAGGAACGGAGGCGGGGAAAGGAAAGGAGAGGAGAGGAGAGAACTCTTCCCTGGTCTCATCTTCCCAGACGCCTGGTCGCGCGCGGCTGCGTTAGCCTCCTCTGGGCCTCTTCCCGAGTCTCTGGCGTGCACTCCGTGCCTCAGTTTCCCCACCTGCACCGCGGAGGGAGTAGCAAAGCTGCTTCCTTTCATTCCTCTCTGGGACTGTTTGGTTTGGGTAAAGTGAGTTGAAGCAAGGCCGGATCTGGGAATTCATTTTTCCCCACTGATCCTGGGAACCGAAGCTTTATTTAAGACGTCTGACCACCCTACTTGCCCCGCGATGGGCGCCCTGACCGGCGAGGGGCCCTGGGAGAGGACACGGGGCTTCATCCGGCGGCCCTTTGAACCTGGCATCACCACCGCGTGTGCATCCCGGGGCCTGGACCGCAGCAAGCCTCTTTCCCTTCCAGACAGCGTGCTGTTCCCAGGAACTTTTCTGCTGATGTGGGCATGATCCGAATTCCAGCCTGGGAGCCCTTCCTCCTCTGCCCCTGCCCGCCGCCCACAGCTGTCAGCTGTCCCTCCTGGACTGGGCCCGCCCTTGGCCCCTTGACGTTTATTTCTGGGCATCTGATGCCTAGAATGTGGGTGACAGGGCCCAGTGAACTTTCTTCAGCAGAATCTTGCCTGCCTGGTGTTTGTGCCATCCACATGTCCAATAGCTGCCCTATTTTGCCAAGTGCTTCTAGCAGCTTGGCTGTCGAGGTGTCTTTGGTGGCCTGTGGGTTTGCTAAGTTGAGGCTCACTTCATTCTTAGCTGTGCCTTGGAGTTATGAATGCGTTAAAGGGATATCTCCTCTCTTCCTTGATGTCCCTGGTCCTGGGCATCCTCACAGCCCACTGGGCAGCCTTTCCTGCTCTCAGACCCATGACATCATCTCCACTCCTCTGATACCCCATTTAGATGCTTATGGGTTTGCTGGGCTTCCAGGGAGGGACTAGACCTCCTGGTGACTGCTGTGGATTTTTAACCAGGTCTGGGTGAGAGTGCCCTTAAATTAGTCCACCTGGGGAGAGAGTTCTCACAGGACATTGGGCAGCCAGGAGCAGGTGTGAATTGTTTGGAGGCTGTTAGAGCAGGTCGATTTTCAGGGCGTCTACAGATATGAAGACCTGTTTGGATTCACAAATTCAATCTGTGTAGCTGTGGTGTGTCCCCTCATAGCACCTGAGAAGGACAGTATGGAAGCTGGCTCTTGTGTGTGTCCTGGGAGAGCCACTGTAGCCAAATGGAAACTTATTTATTGCATCTCCCAGTTGGTACTGGGTTGCTTTAGTTGAGTCTCCATCTCTGTAAAAATAGTTGTAAAGTTAATTTTGTCCCTCTCTGGTCAGCAGTGGCTATTTAATGTGTGTGTGTACATCTGAGATAGGGCTAAAATAAATAAAATGGTCATAGCAAGGAGCAGACGGATAGGGGGAGGAATAGTCCAACTGTCCCTGGTGGGTTTTCCATTATCTGTGGGCTTTGAATTACCTTTAGAGTTGCTGCCTTAGAAACATCTAGGCAGGTTGGAGTGTGTGCATCTTTCATGTTACATTAAGCATCATCTTTTTAGCATAGATTTCACTTTGACCCAAGTGTTGCCAGAAACAGGGCTGGTCCTTTTTCCTAATGTCAACTAGATGCTCCTGGGCTCCCAGCCCATAAGAAAAGCCTGTTTGGTTCAGTTTGGGTTTCATAGCCAGACCAGAGACCCTACCCCTCCATCCCATGGCCTATGCTTGGATCCTCTTCTGGGAAGTTGATAAAACAAGAGAGATTGTAAAAGCCAAGACTTTGGATCTCTGTCTCCATCTGATAGTCTGTGAAAGAATCCCAGGGTCAAGGTTGAACCGTAGTTAGAGTCCTGAGTCTTTGTGGGGCTGGAAAGCCACTGACATTCCAAGAGCAGTTTGGAGGCCTTTTTTATTCAGGAACCTTCTCAGACACCTTGCATATTTTTTTCTTCCTTTGTTTTTATTTGTGTTAGGGAAGTGAAGCATTGATTTTCACCGTTACTATTTTTTAATGTATCCTGCGAGAGAGACTAAGCCCAAGTCATGTCATCTGATGTCCAGTTTTCCTGCATGTGGGTGGACTCAGTGGGTTTAAGTGCGTATGGCTTGAGACATTTCTAAAGGCAGCCATGCTGGATGATGGTCCATCTTCTCACCTCCTCCAGGACTGACCTTTGCCTAGACTTCCTGACATTCTGTATCAGTGAAAAGGCTTGATTTTCCCAGGAGTGAGTGTACTCCCAGGAGTGAGTATTGACCTTTTCTCCTGGAAAGATCTGCTTAACGGTGTGAGGGGTGGGTTTTATTGTTTTTAACTTGCTGAGTAGCTGTGCACATCTCAGCACAGCTCAGCTCGGGAAGATGAGGCCTAAAAGAGGCCTTGTACACCAGAGTACAAATAAACACACCTTGTTGCTTTTCATCTTCAAAGAGATGTGACTAAGGCTCCCTACTGGGGTGTGAGATGTTTTTTCCTGACAGCCGACTTAGGCCATTTACTCTGGGATAAGTGGGGGAGGGAGAGAGATGGGAGTAGGAGAGGGTGGGGTGGTAAATTCTGGGCCTTGAAGAGTGGTTTAGACACCTTTCAGCCAGTCTGCAGGATAAGTTGAAAGTGGACTTGTATTGTCACCTTTGTAAAGCAGTTTAGAGAATTTGGAGTTTAGGAACACTTATAATCAAGTAATTTCATGTTAAAGAATTGGCCTTAAGCCGGAGTAATGGCTCACGCCTGTAATCCCAGCACTTTGGGAGGCCAAGATGTGTGGATCGCTTGAGGTCAGGAGTTTGAGACCAGCCTGGCCAACATGGTGAAACCGTCGTCTCTACTAAAAATACAAAAATTAGCCAGGTGTGGTGACGTGCGCCTGTAATCCCAGCTACTCCGGAGGCCAAGGTGGGAGAATCACTTGAACCTGGGAAGCGGAGGTTGCAATAAGCCAAGATCGCGCCGCTGCACTCCAGAGCAAGACTGCCTCAATTAAAAAAAAAAAAAAGAAAAAAGAATTGGCCTTTACAACCTTGCCTGTTTCTGTGGGCAAGGGAAAGAGAGGGAACCCACTATCAGTGAAGCATCTCCTGTGTGTGAGATGCTTTGCTCATTACTTTAAGCACATGATCCCATTGAAACTTGCCAAGGATATCATGTGGCAGGAAATCATTGTATGGTTCAGGAGAGATTGATAATACCCAGGGTACCACAGTAAAGGCTGAAGCCTAGATTCTAACTTAAGCTTCTCTTTGCCCCCTACCTGGGCTTTTCCCACTCTGTTTCCAGGCTTCCTGCACCATGCTTCCATGCCTTTCCTCCACAGTGCTCTTGCGAATTGACACAGTGAGATTGTTTACATGAATGCTCCCCCTCCCCAAATCTGTTCACTTTGTGGTCACTGCCCAGGATCTATTCAGCAGAGACATCAGCTTTCTTTGCAGGATACTTTGGTGTTCATGGTAAATACATAAAATACATCTCAATCCTTATGTGAAGATGAAACTTTTTCAGACTAACTCTGGTCCTTTTGCTGTGTGTGTGGGTGAGTGACAAACACTAGGCGGGGAGATGATACCAGCCAGGGTTCGATTTCTTGACCCGAATTGTAGTTACATGGGGGTTCGTTTTCATTCTTTGAGCTCTAAATTCGTATTCCCCTCTTAAAATGTGTTTATTGTATTTTAGAATTAAAAAAATAAGGTACTTTCCACCATGGAGATGCCTTGGAGTGATGGAACTGTTTTTAGCTATGGGATTGCCCCAGGGATGGATCTATTTTTGGTTGTTGGGTTTTCTTGTTTGTTCTTTTCCCCTCTTTCTGTCTTCAAAATATTTAGGAAATGCTTGGACCATTCTAACCATGCAGTTTTGTTGTTGTTTTGCCAGTGCCTCTACCTGACAACCAGGGAGATTTTTAAGTTGGCTGATCGTGTGTGTGTGTGTGTGTGTGTGTGTGTGTGTGCACATGCACACATGTGCATATGTATGTAACTGCCTTCTTCTATTGTTGTGAAAAAATCTACTCACTTGGATGCTAAGGAGTACCTTGAAGATGTTTGCTGGGAGAGCAGCCAGGTACTTTTGATATGCCGTATTTGCTCGTCACATCATTGGCTTGATGTTTAATACATCTTAATATAGTACGTGGACTTTTATGACAGAGTAACTGCTTGGTCGGGGGAGAGCAAAAGTTTACTTGAGATAGGATTCTTAGGGCTTTTGGAGGTGGTTGCAGGGATGGGGTTAGTCTCGGGCAGGGTTTCTCAGCTTTGGTACCAACGACACCTTGGCCTGGATAGTTCTTTGTTGTGGGGGTTGTCCTGTGCATTGCGGGATGGTCACAGCAGCATCACTAGTTCTTGATGCCTGTATTGGCTTACTCTTCACCCACAGCGGTGACAGCCACAAATGCCTCCCGACATTGCCACGTTGCCCCTAGTTGAGAACCCCTGGTCTAGCATGAGCAAGTGTCCTTGCCATGCATCTTGAGCATCATTACTGTGCATCATTACTGTGCATCATTACTGTGCATCATTACTGTGCATCCTGAGTGTGTCTTCTGGATGCAGGGGGTCAAGATGCCATCCTCCTCCCAAGGGCCTTTGGGCTTTGGCTTTATGTTTTGTAGCCACACAGTTCCATGGGAAAACCCATTCTTAACCAGGAATGCCGTCAGCACTGACCCTTTCCCTCTCGCTTTCCTCTTGTGTCAGAGTGAAAACTTCTGGAATTTTCTATATGTGGTTTCCTTGGGAGAGACATATGCAGAGAAAGCAGGTGATAGGCAGGTGACAGCTGACACCAAAAGCCACCTGGTTCCCTGAATGTTAAACCTGGGAGGTTCAGCAGCCCTGAGGGAGGGCTATAGGAGCACAAGCTGCCAGATTGCCTTGGAAGTCTTGTGTTGAAATCCTAACCCTGGAAGTTCCCCTTCCTCCACTTCACAGAGTAGGTATTGTTCTTCTGGGCTCCCCTTTCCCTCCCCATAATTCCTTCTCCCTTGCCATCAAAAGGCCTTACAACTTGATTCGTTCTGCAGGTGCTTGGGAAAATCATCTCTACTAGCGGCAAGCTGTGTGTGTGTGTTTTTAGAAGTTTTCATCGTACACTTTTTTCTCTAAAGTCTCTTTGTTGCTCTGTGTCACTTTATAACACTTCAGTTCCTTTAAGACACTTTTCCTTCCAGCTGTCGTTTTGCTTTGCTCTGTTCCAAACCTTCCTTAAGAATTGTGCTTCCACCTCTCTTCAGACTAGCCACATAACTTATCTGCAGCTGTCTTCTTTTGGGCATGAATTCACAGGATGCAAGGTGGCACCCAGAGGAGGACGATGGCTTCCTGGGGAGAAATGCACATTGTTTCAGTTCAGGTCCATTTATCTGAAACCATGCCCTCTTGGAAAAGCCTTCTGTAGTGAGGAGCTTTAGCTTCCTGAGTGTGCAAATGTCATTTTCTTTGTCTTTGGATAGTTAGCAATTTCTTAATATTTTATTTGGTTGTTCGTCATTGTGCCATCATCTCTGCCACACCCAGGCACTGTGTCTATTTCCAGGGGTAGGCGAAGCCATGTAAAACTTGTTCTTTGCCCTTGAAGACCCAAATGACCCACTGATGGAAATGGGATTGTTGACCTTCTTCGTTATCTGGGAAGGGTAGAGGCTCTCTGCCAGTGTAATCTCGGAGGCATTTCTAGACAGGAGTTGTACTGATGGATCTTGGACCTTGATGGGAACACAGAGCCGTGAAGATGTCACAGTGCCCAGGCAAACATGGGTACTGCGTCTTCAGGGATATTTAATCAATGTGTCATTCTTGAACAGGTTTCAGAGGTGATGACACATGTCCTAGTTTGCTTCTTTAGCTTTCAAGATAAAATACTGGTATACGTGTATTGGTGCTCTGTGACTTTTCTAGCTCTAGGCTTCTGAGGTTTGAGCTAGAAATGTCTTCTGTGGCTTTTGGACAATAGCCTTCTTTACCTTATGGTCATACACAGTATATATGTGTATGTGTGTATGTGTATGTGTATGTCTGTGTATACCCTGGTTATATATATATACTGTATATGTAAAACCTTTCTTACCTTCTAAATCCTGCTAGATTGAAAGCTCCTTGAGGGACTGGGATCATATATTAAGTGTCTGTGATACTTTTTCTTTTGTGGTGTCTAGAAGAGTGAGAGTGGCTCCCATTCATTGAAGGTTTACTCTGTCTGGCAGGGTGGCAAGCACTGTACGTGTCTTATTTTGTTATAAACTTCTTGAATTACAAACACTGCAAAAATAATACACGGGGGCCAGGAGCAGTGACTCATGCCTGTAATCCCAGCACTTTGGGGGGCCGAGGTGGGCGGATCACGAAGTCAGAAGATCG
The DNA here is from genome assembly GCF_000001405.40 of Homo sapiens. NCBI lineage: Eukaryota > Metazoa > Chordata > Mammalia > Primates > Hominidae > Homo > Homo sapiens. Next base: position 35,950,881 of record NC_000011.10, read on the forward strand.
AGACCATCCTGGCTAACATGGTGAAACCCCGTCTCTTCTAAAAATGCAAAACGTTAGCCGGGAGTGGTGGCACGCACCTGTAATCCCAGCTACTTGGGAGGCTGAGGCAGGAGAATCACTTGAACCTGGGAAGTGGAGGTTGCAGTGAGCCGAGATCGTGCCACTGACTCCAGCCTGGGTGACATAGTGAGACTCTGTCTCAAAAAATAAAAAATTAAAAAAAAATACACAGACTGAGTACGTGCTTATGATACAAAATTCATACAAATTAGAAGTAATGGCAATAATAAAACATTAAAATCCTCCTTCATCTTCCTTTCCCATTTCTCTCCCCTCCCTTAAGTAACTACTGTGAATTGTCTGGTATATATCAATTTAGCTTTAACATGGATTTATAATTATATACAGGTACACACACACAGAGACATAATTTAATGAGCTCCTGCTTGTCTCTATTTGTAGTTTTTTGGCTGGCTTTTTAACTCAAGTACTATATTTCATCAATTTTATTTTGAGCCATGTGAATGCGTCACATCTGTCTCCTGTTGTTTAGACATTTCAGTTAGTCCCAAGCAATTTGGCAGTTTCCCTCACCTTCCCTTGCTTTGCTCGGCTCTTGAACAGACACCCCTTTTGTTGCTATCTCAGAAGCACAGCTGATACACCTTCAGTTATTTGTGTTTTCCTCTTTTAATTCTCTTAAAGGGCTGGCTCTTGCTTTGCAAGAAAATATGGAATTATGGTAATTTCTTGCAGTGAGAGATATTTGCTTCACTATTATCAAATTCATGCTGTTTCCCTGCCTCTTTGTGTATACACAAATGTGTTTAATTTTTCATTTCAATGCCACATTTTAACATCATCTTTTGAAGGACATTCTAAATAGCAGGTCACTTCAACCTGTGTAGTACCAGCCATGCACATAACTGGAGGGAAGTGACGAAATAGGAACAGCTGTGACCAAGTTTACCCAGGCACTGCCAGTGACCAATAAATCACAGCTTCCGCCCACCCTGTGCTTTTAGAAGATGCAGTTGGCCATTAGGTACATCCTGATGTCAGAGATGTTACAACATCAAATAAAAGTGTCTTCTTGGCCATCTTTCTTTCGGCTCTTATATACCTACCCATGCTTTTAAAAACAGCTTTCTGGTGTGTGTACATACTATAATTTATTTAATGCTTTCCCTGCTGGTGGATCTTATTTCATTTTCAGAGTAGTTTATTCAGGTGGGTAGTATGCTTTACCGTTTTATAGATGAGGAAACTAAAAGGTTCAGTAACTTTCCTAAACCTTCGACCAGTAAGAGATAGTTTCAGAATTGGCACGTGGGTCTGCGTGACTTAGACTTGGTCTCCTAACCACTGGCCCTGCTGCTTTGGTATAGAATAGAAATCCAAGTCTGTATGTGTTGGGAGAAGAATTGCACCGTCTACCTTGTGCTGGAGAATTCCAGCATTGCATAGGGATGTCAATATTGACTTCATGCTTATCGTGTTGGATAGAATGATTTGTTAGAGAGCCATTGGAGTGGGGGGCATCTCAAGTTGATTCTACTCAAATGGCCTGTCTTTGGCAGATAGAAACTGCTGTTCTCCTATGTGGAGAACGTATCAGTATAGGTGTTGAAATTGGCTTTTGCAAAGACTGAATTTATTAAACAAAAATAAGAATAAACAAGTTATTTCAGCACCATGACACTTGCCTTTGAATATATTAATGATAGAGATAATTCTTCCCCCCTTTATGGGAATATTTTGTTGGAATACCAACCAAAAGCAATTTCTTTTCAGCACTTCCCTCAAATAGTGCTGGGTGCCAAATAGAAGGGCCCACTGTTCAAAAAGTCTGGAAATATATTTTCTAGACAAAGATACAGTACTGATGATAATGCCTCGTATCAAAAGAGAAATTAAAGTATTTTTAGAATTACTTTCTGACCCTGAGCTTAAGCTTATATGGTCCATGTATGAGAGAACATTTCCTGAACTAGAGATTGATGTTCTTTATTGTGGAAGCTGAAATTTTAATATGTTGCTCCAGAAAGAAACTAGAAATAATTGGCCCCATCTTGTTGCTTCAAACTAAGGGGCTCTTGTGCGAAAGTAGGCAGTGATGTCTTGTGAGAAAGTAATGCCACAGGCCTGTAAAGTGTTAGCTACAGGCAGAGCAGAGTGAACCCCAGGATTTTAAACTTACTCCCAAGGCCTTTCCAGAGACCTGAGAACCGGACTCTCCTTTTGTTGAGTCATTGTGATATCAAGAGACAGGTGATAAATTGGGTGAATTCGCTGTTGCCCAAATCCAACTGTGATTTTTGACAGACAAATAGCGCAGTGTGCAGACGATGTTGTCTCTGTCCTGGCGAGCGGCCACGGGGAGGGAGGGCAGGCCCTTTAGCTTACTCTGGAACAGGCCTTGGGCATCCGGGTGCTGCAAGGATGTGGAATTTATGAATAACTTGATTTAGAAGACTTGCATACCCAAGGTGCCAGTGTTCCAGGTGGCAGTGGGACACTTATGTGTTTGTTGGCATAAAGAAATGAAAGCATAAAGGGTGTTTAATTTTATTGCATTAAAAATCCCTTCTCATTATTATAAGACCGAGTGAGTTTGGCTTAGCGAATGTCAGAAGTGTGTCCTCTTTGATGGCATTACTGGAACATTTTCCTTCAGCTTTAGCCTTGAATCAGAGCAGTGTTCTCCAGGCGTCGTTAAACTAATTGGACATGGCTGAAAAATGAGCCCTAGTCACACTTGTAGTTCCACAGTCCGTTGAAAAAAGCCTCTTGATTGATTTGGAAAGTTCTAAATTTAACTTGTTTTTTTATTATAAAAATAAAATTGGGGGAATTTGGGGAGGGGAAGAGTGATTAGCAACATAGGGTATTTCATCAGAGTTCAAGCTGTAAAGAATGGTTAATGCTAAGAGAAACCAGAACAGAACTAAATAAGGTGTTTCAAAAACAGATTGATAAAAACATTGGCATAAGCTTGATTAAAAAGTATGATACTAGCAAGTGAGCCCAGCTGGCAGGAACCTGGGGAAGCAGGATTGGAATGAGTTGATGCTTACTACTGTAAAAGAGATAAAGTTGGAAAGAATGACTTTTACATTAAGAATATTTGGTATTAATGAAAGATAGAACTAATCTTGTAAATGTTACAGTGTAACAATAAACATCGGTGGATCCTATGAAGGGCAGTGGTGACATAATAAAGGTTTAGCATACCCAGAGTTCATTTGTGTTATTCAAGTAAATGATAATGATGACAATACAAGAAAAGCTAACAGGTGTCAAAAATATAATAGGGTTCAGTTTTTGAATAATAAGCATACCAGAACAGTCAGAGATGGTACAAAATATGAATGTATATATATTCAGCGGAAGGAACACTGCCCAGAATTGAAGGGCAACGTCAACATCTTTTAAAAGTACCCATAAAATGTGACTTGGCAACAATCCTGAACAGAAAAAAGAATTCTTCTCTTTTCCTGTGTGACTAAAGCTCCATGAGGTGGGATGGAGTCTATTGTGTTTTTGATGTCTATCTTATTTGTTGTTATACTCCAGAACCTGATTCAGTGCTTGGCATAGTATCAGGCACACAGTAGGATTTCCTGTAAGTTACCCTACAAGAAGGAATGAAGGGGATCACTAAAGACATGACTATGACTTTGAAAAAGAGACGGAATTGGGAGAGTCAGACTAAGCCATGGTGAATGAAATTTACCTGGCCAAGCTAACTTTGCCTTTTGGTGAAAATTGCTTCTCCTTCGCTGGAGTTTAGAACAGTCTCATTGATCTTCAAAGACTTGGAAAGATCTTTACAGGATATCCCTTGGCTTAAAAAGACAAAGAAAAAGAGGCCTTTGAGAGGGCAATGTATTATAGCAATTTTAAATCAGGTGATAAATTAGATTCATTATGAGACTAGCATGTGACATATCAAAAGGGTTTCTGACAGGCTAATGAAAACTGCTATGCATCTTAATTCCATTTGAAGGGAGTTTACATAGTTTACTGAACAAGTAGGAGAGGTCACCAAGAGGAAATAAATTAAAGCAGGTCTGTTTTATAAAATAACAGTATTAGGCCGGGTGCACTGGCTTACACCTTGGGAGGCCGAGGCGGGCAGATAACTTGAGGCCAGGACTTCGAGACCAGCCTGGCCAACATGGCGAAACATCATCTCTACTAAAAATATAAAAATTAGCCGGGCATGGTGGCACATGCCTGTAATCCCAGCTACTCGGGAGGCCGAGGCACGAGAATCGCTTGAACCTGGGAGGTGGAGGTTGTAATGAGCTGAGATTGCACCACTGCACTCCAGCCTGGGCAACAGAATGAGACTCTCTCTCAAAACAAAACAAAACAAAAAAACAGTATTAAACACATGAAATAGTAAGGAACAATTGGTTATCTTCTGGTCTAGTTTAAAAGGAAATAAAACTTTGCTGGTCAAACCACGCAAATGATTCCAGGAAGGAAGCACATCAGTAAATATAACATTAAAGGTAAGTGGAAGGTGATATGAATACATCAACTAAAGACTAAATGTAAAGCAAAATGTTACTCTTATTAAAAGAAATCACCTATCTGCTCACTTTCGGACACGTAGTAAAATTCAAGAGATATAAATAGAGTGAAAAGTTAAGGAAATAAAATCCATTATGTAAGGACTACTTTTATGGTATCATATAAGTAATTTCATAGCATTAAGCATTAAAATAGATAAACAGGGTTACTGCAAATGACAAAAGATTCATTAAAAAACAAATATCTGATCATCCCACATAAAAAGACATGAAGAATTAGGAACATAATGAAAGGATGTTGAAGGTTCTTCAAGTATAAAATTAGCTGGTGCTTGCCAAATTTTGGAAGGTTAAAATATTTAGAGAATACATAGTTCTAATGTTTTAAGTAAAGTCTGTGGGAATGGGGAAGTGCTCATCAGGTGCTGAGGACTGGGTGGTGTGTGCAGTGGGAATGGTGGGTGGGACTGACCAGTTCCTTGGGGAGCCCCCAGGGGCCTTTCCTACACACCTGCTCCCTGGATCTACAGAAGTGCTCACTCATGGAAGCTATGGGGATAAAATCCTTCCTGCTAATGAGATGAGAAGGTTGATTAACTTTGAGTTGGGCTTAGTGAGTCTGACACCAGTGGCTGCCCAAGGGGAGTCTGCTGGTGGGAATTTACAAGAGCAGCTTCGGGCCTCTCATATGGATGGAAAGAGGATGTAAAGGTTACTGAGGAGAAGGTGTATTTTTGTTATATATTATTAAGCTTTCATGTTATTTAAATTATTCGATAACAGAGCTGGGTATGGTGGCTCATGCCTGTAATTCCAGCTACTCCGGAGGCTGAGACAGGAGGATCGCTTGAGGCCAGGAGTGGAGACCAGCCTGTGCAACATAGCAAGACCCCCATCTCTAAAAATAAAATTCAAAATAATTATTAGAAAACATTTTCCTGGTTGAATATAGTGTATTTTCTCTTTTAAGATTTTACAATATGGATTGTGTAGAGCTTTGCTACTCTTAGTGTGGTTGACAGACCAACAGCATCAGCATCACCTGAATCAGAATCTGCATTTTAACAAGATCCCCAAGTGATACATGTGCATATTAAAGTTTGAGAGGCATTGATGTGGTGATTAAGAATACAGGCTTTAGAGTGAGTCAGTCTGGGTTCAGATTCCAGTTCCTTGCCTTGACCTTGGCTAGGTTTCTTAAACTTTTTAAATCCATCACATCTTCGTCTGTTAATAGGTATAATAATGGTCCTTACCATGTAGAAATATTTTAAATAAGATAATGCATGCAAAACACTTAACTTTATTTTTATTTATTTTATTTATTTTTTTTGAGACGGAGTCTTGCTCTGTTTCCCAGGCTGGGTGCAGTGGTGCAATCTCGGCTCACTGCAAGCTCTGCCTCCCGGGTTCACACCATTCTCCTGCCTCAGCCTCCTGAGTAGCTGGGACTACAGGCGCCCGCCACTACGCCCGGCTAATTTTTTGTATTTTCAGTAGAGATGGGGTTTCACCACGTTAGCCAGGATGATCTCGATCTCCTGACCTCGTGATCCGCCTGTCTCGGCCTCCCAAAGTGCTGGGATTACCCAAAGTGCTGGGATTACAGGCGTGAGACACTGCACCTGGCCACACTTTATTTATAATTGCTCACTAAATGTTATTGATTAGTAATAGGTTTATTATAAAAACTTGGACAAAAGGTAGAAACACATAACATACAGTCTACCACCTAAAGATTTTTAACACATTGGTTTATTTATTTATATTGATTTTAGATAGTTTTGATCATACGTGGAATATAATTTCATGTCCTGCTTTTTTCACTTCTGAATATAGCATAGACGTTTTCCCATGTTACACTAATCTACGAGTACAAGAAGTCTCCCATCACAGAATGCTGGGTGTATTCTTTGATGTTGGCTGTAAAAATCATCTGACCCACCCAAGCCAGCAACATGCTGCCTCACAGCTTATATCCTTGTCTATATGTAGGAGATGACATTACCTGGCCCCTCTGCTTTTACATGATGGTCATGAGAATCCAGTTGGAATCGTGTAGGATGTAAAAACAGCTAGTAAAAAGTAAAATGAGCTGGGTGCGGTGGCTCATGCCTGTTATCCCAGCACTTTGGGAGGCTGAGGCAGGTGGATCACCTGAGCTCAGGAGTTTGGGCTGGGCAGCCTGGGCAACATGGCGAAACCTCGTCACTACTAAAAATACAAAAATTAGCCGGGCACAGTGGTGTGCATCTATAGTCTCAGGTAGGAGGCTGAGACAGAAGAATCGCTTGAACCCAGGAGACGGAGGTTGCATGGAGCTGAGATCGTGCCATTGCGCTCCAGCCTGGGTGACAGAGTGAGACCTTATCTCAAAAAAAAAAAAAAAAAAAAGAAAAGAAAAGAAAAAAATACAATGCCGTACACATCTGTGTTATTTTAAGTGGGTGATTCTAATATGTAGGAAATCCCTAAAAACAGAAATTACCCGTTGACTCCACAATTCCACTTCTAGCACTTTAACTCAGTGAAATAGTTTGCAATGTGTACAAAAGTTTGGCAATGAGGATACCTGTGTTTGTGGCAGTATCATTTATAGTGGTGAAACACTGGAGACTAACAAAATGCTCACTAGTAGGGGAGAGTTATCGTGCCAGTATACTAAAATACTATGCAGACATTAAGAAGGATGTCACTGACCTGTGTTCTCCAGTAAGGTGGCCACTAGCCACCTGGGGCTACTGAAATTTAAATTAGTTAAGTTTAAATACAATGTAAAAATTCAGTTTCTCAGTCACACCCAGCCTATTTCAGATGCTCAATAGTCCCATGTGGCTGATGGGATTGGATAGCACAGACACAGAGCATTTCTGTCATTGAGGAAAGTTCTAATGGACAGTGTTACTGTAGAATAATTCTTCCACGGAAAGAAAATTCTTACGAAACAGATGATTCAAATTTGTAGTGTGTATGTGTGTGAGGTACAAATTGCCCCATGGTGCTTGGTGCCCAGCACTTCATTTCTTTATTTTCTTCTGTTCAGTCCAATCTGGCCGTAGTAGTCCCCACTCACTAAAAGCTAGAGATCTGATGTCAGTCACCTCGAAGAATTGACCTTTGGTGTAGGTCAATTCTTGAGGGCCCTCCTTTTCCTGTAGGCTCTCTCAGGACTCCTGGGTGCCTGGTCTGATCATTGGTGTTACTATTGCATTTTGTTCCAAAGCCTGTTGTTGCCCAGCCTTGGATCTTCTTTTCTTCCAATTTCTTCAGTCCACCTTTTCCCATCAATTAACTACCCCCTACATTTTACAGCAGTGATATTCAAGGGTTGGGGAAGAGGAAGCCACTCTTCCTCTCCCTCATTGAGATCGATGGGAGAGTGTTACCTAGGGGGTGGAAAAAAGACTGAAAACCATACTACATGAGTACAAGGTGACAACCACCCCAGACCTTGATTCACGTGTGCAGACGTGCGCTGCTCTCGTCTAGATTGCAGACCCTCCTGGAAACTTTGCAAGAAGGCTCTGTGGTCACTGGACCCTCCATCCCCTGCCCCTCCCAGCAGCATTGGGCCTCCAGGCTCCCAGGCCTTGCCACACGGGTGAACTGATACAAATCAAGATGGTGTCGGTACCATAGTGATCCCTGTTTCTTGCTGGCTTTTTTAGCACATGATTCTGGTCAGCCTGATGGAGAAGGAACGCCGTCTCCCAGCTCGCAACTTTTCCCACAGCTCAGCGCAGCCGTATGGATTGTGTGCTCTTGTTTGCTGTCTGGTCTCACTATTAATTAAGGATATGACTGTGTTTGCAGACAGTTTATCAGAGAAAGCTTCCTGTTCACCCTCTGAAACCTGGCTAGTGAATCTCCTATTCTAGAAAAGTGTCCTCCCATCTTCAACTCCCAATCAGAGAATTAATCTCTGACTTCTTAATGGCTGCCTGTAACTTGTATTTGTTCGTGTAGAACTTAACACACAGTATTGCAGTTTATTTATGCTTGTTCTCTATACTTGAATGTTTATTAAGCCTAGATGATTATAAGATTAACTTGGGTGCTTTAAAATATATTTTTAATTACTTTAAATTATTGAATCTTCCGAATAGCGTAAAAGATCTGAGAACAGTATAACAAACAGTAGTGTACCTATCATATAGATTTATCAGATTTTTAATATATGTCATTATAATTCAGGCTTTCCTCTTAAAAGAAAAATGTGGCTAGGTGTGGTGGCTCATACCTATAATCTTAGCACTTTGGGAGGCTGAGGCTGGTGGATCACTTGAGGCCAGGAGTTCGCGACCAGCCTGGCTCACATGGTGAAACCCCATCTCTACTAAAAATATACAGAAAAAAAATTAGCCGGGCATGGTAGGGTACACCTGTGGTCCCTGTAGCTACTTGGGAGGCTGAGGCATGAGAATTGCTTGAACCCAGAAGGCTGAGGTTGCTGTGAGCTAAGATCTCACCATTCTACTCCAGCTTTGGTGACAGAGTGAGACTCCATCCCCCGCCAAAAAAAGAAAAATGTATTACAGATAGAGTCAAAGACTTTGCCTCATCCCATTACTCTCTCTTGGCCCAGAGGTCATCACTATCCCCAAATTGGCATATATCCTTTCTGTCCCTGTTTTTAGTCTTTTGCTACTGATGTGCACTTACATCCCTTGCATAGGATTTTAAAGTGTGCTTAGGTGGCTATCAAATGGCCTACGCTTCTGCAGCTGGCTTTTTTCATTTACCTTTATAATTTTGAGTTCCATCCCATTTATAATTTTGAGTTCTATCCACATTGCCACATACAGATACAGTTTATTTTAGCTGCGGTAGAATATCCTATTATATGAATATACTACACTTTGCTCATTCATCTCTTAAAAGGATATTTAGATTATTACTATGACTAGCCACACTGCAGTGAAAATTTTTGTGCATAATAGCAGGACTTTCTCTATAATAATATCCTTGAAGTAGAATTGCTGATCAAAGGATTTGCACGTTTTCAACCTGAGTAGATATTGCCAACTTCTCTATAAAATGGTCCTGCCCATTTATCCTCTCATTAGTGGTTTATGAGAGCATCTGTTTCTCCACTTTTCTTCCAACATTTGGAATTTAGAGTTTTTAATTTGTTTCTCCAAGGTGCAAGGTGGTGACTTGCTGTGTTTTGTTTTGTTTTGTTTGTTTATTTTTGAGACAGAGTCTCGCTCTGTCGCCCAGGCTGGAGTGCAGTGGCGCGATCTCGGCTCACTGCAACCCCCCGCCTGTTGGGTTCAAGCAGTTCTCTGCCTCAGCCACCTTAGTAGCTGGGATTATAGGCTTGTGTTCCCACATCTGGCTAATTTTTGTATTTTTAGTAGAGACGGAGTCTCACCATGTTGGCCAGGCTGGTCTTGAACTCCTGACCTCATGATCCGCCCGCCTCGCCTCCCAAAGTGCTGGGATTACAGGCGTGAGCCACCGTGCCCGGCCTGCTTTGGTTTTAATTTGCCTGCCCCTGATGACTGGTCAGGGGAGTGGTGGGCTGTGGCCAGGCCTGTTCCCTCATCTCCCGCTGAGGTGGATAATGGATGGGGAACCCCAAGGCCATTCATGACAGGCAGTTAAGAGGCGGTTGTTCTACTGTTGGCATGGCATGAACGTCCAGGCCCCAGCTCTGGACCGTAGGACTGGGTGATAAGGTCTCATTCTGCTGGAGATCAGAATGTTTCCCAATTGTGTGGATTCTGGTGCCCCCGTGGCTCAGCGTATAGAAGGCAGTGAGCGTCAGCCATGTGCTCCTCCTCCCTGGAGGGTGTCTCATTCTGTGATGCTGGGACCATTCATCCAGGGTGCACTGCTGCAAGAAGATAAGCAAAGCAGTGGTGAGCCCTTTTCTAGGCTCCGCTTCCACTGGAGGTGTGGGAGAGTGATGGTTCAGAAGGCAGGCTCTTGAACCAAACAGTCTGAGGTCAGATCCTGGCTGCGTGACCTTACTTAGGCCAGTTACAGAGCTGCTCTGCCTCAGTGTGTTCTTTACCTGTAAAAGGAGGATAAGGTTAATAGCAGCCTCACAGCATTCTTGGGGAGAGTAGACAAGATCATGAATGCAGGTTGCTTAGCCCATGCTGGCATTTCAGGAGCACTCACCACATGCTTACCAATCCATGCCGAGACTAGGGTTGAGGGCTGGGAGTGTCATTTATCTCAAACCCCCAGTGCCTAGCTTGTTGAATAAATGAATGAGTTTCTACTTAGTGACTTCTCAGTTGTGCTTTGGTTTGTACAGCAGGCTATGTAAAGCTTTTGCATTTTACTCTAACAACAATGAGAATATTAAAATTTTTTTAAAATTTAAAATTTTTGTGTGTACAGAGTAGGTGCATATTTACGGGGTACATGAGATGTTTTGATACAGGCATGCAGTGTTTCATAATCACATCATGGAGAATGGGGTATCCATTCCCTCAAGCATTTATCCTTTGTGTTACAAACGATCCAATTATACTCTTTTAGTTATTTTAAAATGTACAATGAGGATATTTTAAGCCAGGGATGACTGTGATCCTGTTTGTGGTCTTAAAACCGAGATGAGGACTCTTGATCCTCCTGAAAATTTCAGTCCTGAAATTTCTGGTCACTAATCATGAACTAGAAATTAGACTTTGGTGACTCCTCATTTTCACATTTTCACTTAAAAAATTTATTATTTGCATTTTTTCCCCCTCCTTGAAATGTTCTTCCCTCTGTCTTCTTGGTCTTTTTGAAATACATTTAAATAGCCTTTTTCCTTTTTTGTTGATTCTAAAATCCTCACGTTTTTGGAGTTTGAACTTGAGCTTGTCTCCAAGTTCTAGGGGTATTCTCTTTCATGACCTAGGACATAGTGCAGGGTCAGTGCTAAGTGAGATTCTGGAAGCAGAGTCTTCAGAATTCCAGGTATATTTTAGTTTTGCTGCTGGTTCAAACGGCTCATCTCAGTCTCGTTTTGCCTCTACAGAAAGTACCTTTTTCTTCCTGAATTTTGGGTGGAAGAGGGTATACCCACCCTCTGGGGCCGTCATCAGGACTAAGTGGCTGATGATCATTTTCCATATGTTGGTTCCACACTGACTTCAAAAGGGTATGAACAGCTTGCGTCTGGGAGGCTCATTAAGTTTCCTGGGCTCTCTGGACCACCTCCAGTTTAATGAGTTCATACAGTGGACTAAAGAGCCTCAAAGATTATGAAATAGAAATGCCCTTTCTCTAAGCATATTTAGGGGAGGACACACTGACTGTTCCCTTTCCTGTTTAAATATGTTATATTTGTTTGCGAGATGGAAGAGGAAAGTAGAATGAAAAGAAATTAAAATCTCTGTAGACTTGAGCTATTTGCATACATAGGACACCATGAAAAGGACATTTAGTGGATTCAGAACTCAACGTGGGTGGGGAACGAAACAGAGGGTAAAAAGACTGGCTTTGCAAAATAAATAACAGTGTCACTTGGAAGTGGTGATCTGAGTGAAGATATGGAAATAATGTGGTAAAGACTAAACCAGAAGTAGATATACCAGAAGAAGACATAATCAAAACAACACAGAGATCAGAACTACAGAGATGTAGATGTTAATGGGAGAACAAAGTAGAGTTATATGGTGACAGTCAGTCACAACTGTGGAGGGAGGAAGGCCAGGCCACAAGGACGATGGATTTAAATGCCATTTTATTAAAATTTTAATTACTGTCCACTTGCATTGCCTGAGATTTTGGGATGAACATATTTGTGTCTGTGCATGTATGAAACCAACCAACGGTCCCATAGATAGTTTTTTTGGGTAAACATAGAAATTGACCCTTCTGGTCTTAAAGCTTGAAACTTACATTTTTTTAATATGTGTTCCTTCCTTAGGAAATGATCTTCAGGCCTCTTAAAAAAAATATCAAAGAACTGAAACTCACCAGATCACCACATTCTGACAGTTAGATGTCAGAACCCCTCATTCATTACAATTGTTTCCTTGCCTCTCCCAGTTCTGTGTGTGTGTGTGTTTTTTTTTTTTTAACACGTTGTTACATTTCTTCCCTAAAACCTCTAGTTTTAGTTATTCAGGGAGACTGATTTAAGACTGAGTCTCCTCGGCTTTGCCACCCGATTAAAGCCTTCTTCCTTGGCAATAATCATCATCTCAGCCATTGGCTTTCTTTGCGGAAAACAGCAGGATGTAGACCCAACTTGTGGTATTTCTGTAACATATATACCCACATGTAAACACTACTGTTCTTCGTCCTGGGAAGAAATTCAACATTGGCCATAAGAAGTCTCCACTCTGTATGTGCTTACCATCTATTTTTAAATGACCTGTTTGGTATTATTGTCACTGGCTTTTTAAAACAATTGCTTATTGTTCGCTTACTTGTAAATCAATATAGTAGGTATGGTTGGATATGCAGAACTTTCCCCTGACCTTAAGTAATGAAGAATTTATGAAAAGAGGGAAAACGTGCACGTGGGTCTCTGAGTAAGGTGTTGTATAGTAATGTGGTGAGTGGCACAAGAGTGATATAGACCTAATGTTGCTGGAGTTAGAGGAGGTCCCCATTTCTTCCGGCCATGATGAATAAACAAGGATTGGGAAGGCAGTCCTTGATGTGATGGAATTCCAGGATGGCGTGGGCTGGGTCCCAGAGGAGAGAAACTATGCAGTGTATTTGGGAAGCCATAAGTATTACAAGTTTGCTGGAGTCTTGAGCAATGGAAGATAAAACTAGAAAGAGGGCATTGTCTACTAGGAACACTCCTACTACTAACCATGTTCCCAATTATTTGGTGCTTACTGTGTCCCAGGCTCTGGGGAAAGTGCTTTACCCACTGGATTTTTTTGAATCCCCTCAAGATCCCTATGAGGTCAAGACTGTCATGATCGTGATTTGACCCAGTAGGAGACTGAGTTTCAGAGAAATTGAACAACTTGCTGGGACTTGGGTGAGAGCGAGGTTGTGTGAGTCCTGGGCTTTTCCAGCCCCACAGTCTTGCTTTGGTAGATGGGGTAGTGATGAGGCCACAGAGACCCAGCTTAGAACTTGGGGTTTGGGCTTTGGGACATAGGCACTGGGAAGGCTTTCCCTTGCTCAGGGCTCTGTTTGGAAAGCCTGGAGTTAGCCTCTACTTTGGAGGCTGTCGTCTGTCTGAGTGTAACCAGGGCCTGGTCTAGGCTGTCAGATGCAGGCTAGAGGGAAGAAGGCCCAGATTTGGACACCATTGAGGGAATGGTTTCACTTGAATGGTGAGAGTAGAAGCTGGGTTTGTAAATTAGGGTTGAGCCTGGGTGTGGTGGCTCATGCCTGTAATCCTAGCACTTGGGGAGGCTGAGGTGGGAGGATCACTTGAGCCCTGGCGTTCAAGACCAGCTTGGGCAACATGGTGAAACCCTGTCTATACAAAAAATACAAAAATTAGGTTGGACATGCTGGTGCACACCTGTAGTGCCTGCTACTCAGAAGCTTGAGGTAGGAAGATAACTTGAACCCAGGAAGTTTGAGGCTGCAGTGAGCTGTGATTATGCCACCACACTTCAGCCTGGGCAACAGAGCAAGACTGTCTCCAAAAAAAAAAAAAATAGTGTTGAGAAGAGTTGAGCTGGGGCGGAAGTGGAGGCAGCCAACTGAAACTGATTAGTATAATAAACACAATTCCCAGGCTTGGATATTATGGACCAGTAAAGTAATGAAAAAAAAGAAAAAAACAAAAGCTTGGGCTCTTGATGTTGAGTCACCCGCTTTTATTTGATCAGATGAGAATAATGAAAACCAAATCACTCTCTAATTATCCAATCATTATTTTCTAAAATAAATTATGTTTTAATACAAAAATGTTGTAATGGCTCATCAGAATGAAGGATGGTCCTGTAAGTGGAATAAGTTTAATTCTAAGAAGAGCTTGCTGCAATTGTGCCTTCATTTTCTACTTTTGTTGCTAACCTGTGAACCCTTTTTCACGGACCAGGGTGTTCTTGTAACACACATTTGGGAACTGCTGGTAGAGACTATTCTGTTCAGAGGCTTGACTGGAAGAGAGGAGGCTCCAAGGCTGTGGCTGGGGGCCATGGGAGGGTGTAGGTAATTTGTTTTCAGGTATGTGGGTATTTAGGGTTTCAGGAAGAGTTTTCTAAAGCAGGAAGTCCTCACTATGTGCCGAGAAACTGGGGAGGCCTTTGTGAAGATAGGAATGGGTAAAAAATTCTGGAGAGAGGAGGGAGGAAACCAAAGAGAGATGGGGGAATAAGATTTATTTAGCATCTGCCAGGCGTATGTTAGGAGAGAGGTCTGTCTCATTTAATGCTCTTAAATAGTCTTTGGGGTCAGAGACACACTATTTTTTTTAAAGAATAGTGTGAGGGTTTATTCAATTTAAAAAATTCGCTTTTTAAAATCAGGAAAAGAAGAAAATCCAACAGTAAAAAAAGCCATTAATCATTAACAGGTTGCATTCATTAAGATGACACAAACAATTTATCAAATACCTTTATGACCAACATTATTTTATAGCAGATCCTGACTGTTATTAACTTTTGGATCTGTGAATCTGGGCCCTACTGCCAAGGCATGTTACTACTGACCTACTGAATTCTCTTACCCTTTTATCACGTAAAATGTTCTCTAACGTAAATTTTTCATTCTTTGTTAGTGACGGTATGACAAAGAAGAGTACTCTACCTGTAATTTGTCTTTCGACAAGATAAAATGCTTTATTTAAAAATGCAGGCTGGGCGCAGTGGCTGACACCTGTAGTCCCAGCACTTTGGGAGGCCGAGGTGGGTGGATCAGAGGTCAGGAGTTTGAGACCAGCCTGGCCAATATGGTGAAACCCCATCTCTACTAAAAATATAAAAGTTAGCCAGACGTGGTGGTATGCACCTGTAGTCCCAGCTCCTCGGGAGACTGAGGCAGAAGAATCTCTTGAACCCGGGAGGCGGAGGTTGCAGTGAGCTGAGATCGCACCACTGCACTCCAGCCTGGGTGACAGAGTGAGACTCCGTCCCAAAAAACAAAAAGCAAAAATGCAGTATTCTTTTCCTTTAAAAATGTGTACATAAAAAGGATTTGGATAAAGTATGATGAAATAATAGGAAACAAGGCCAAATTCTGATAAAATAAAGGGAAATTGGTGAGGCTTGGAACATCAAACCAGTCAGAACGTGGCCACAAGAGGGACAGGGCAAGTAGATGGAGAACAGCCATGTCAAGTTTTCCTTGAACCTTCTCCATCCAGCGTTTTTGTTCTGCAATTAAACAACCAGCTCAGAGATGTCCAAGTTATATACAGTCTTACTTTTACCCACCTCATGTAATGGTGAAGCCATTTATTTAGTAAATACAATATCAGAAAGGGTATATATATTAGGAGACCCACTTCCACAAAGGGGTTGGGAACTCTTTTTCAGAAATAGCATCATATAACCTGGGAAGTACTGTGGAAATCCAGGCACATTTTCTTGTAAACTGTTACTTGAATTCAAAACCAAATTCTATTCCTTTCTATGTACAGCGAATCCCTGGGATCCTTGGTAGGGCAACCTCCTAATCCATAAGGCCAAGCAAGGGCTGTTTCCTGTTTTCTTCCTTTAGTTCAGAGGCTCATGCTGTCCTGAGGTAAAGCTTGAAGACCTTGCACTCTTTCCTCCTACCAGGCATTTGGTGTTTTCTGATCCCGTGTGGTCCCAAAGACCCGAGGGTCACCATGATGGAAGTCTCCCTGCAGGGACTGGGCCTGCTGGGCTTCCCTTAGTTCCCTTTCCAGTGCAGCTGTCTTGGACTTTTCCAAATTCAGCTGCTGCTAGAGCTCTTCTGCTTTCCCCAGGGAGGGCCAGGGCCAATTTCTGACCAGAGCTGCTGCAGAAGGTCTCTCTCCTGGATCAGGGTGGATCATGTGCTTGAGCAGACTGTAAAAGTCTTCTGAGAGCTCCTGAGGAATGTCTGGGAAGTTACTCTCATGGTTATGGTGCCTTGCAGCACTGTTGATGGGTAATGTCCTTACTCCTTCAGCCATTGCAGTGATTAATCCCAAGGCAAATAGGTCTGCTTTGGGAAGGTACTAATAATCCTCTTGCAAAATCTCATTTGCTAGGCAGCAACTATCTGCTTTTTCCACTTTGAGTTTGCTTATTGATGTCACATGGCCTAGGTCACCAATTTTATATATCACATGGGCAGAGAGAAACTAATCAGCTTCATTTTCAACTTCTGTGACTCCAGAGGAGTCACTTTGCATCTTGTGACAAAGGAAGGTTTTACAAGGTTTCATGTCCGGGTGCACCATGCCAGAGTTGTGGCTGTATTTAAGTTCAAGGGAAATCTGTAGAAGGATGTCCTTGAGTTTTGGCTCTTGGAAGTGATTAGTAGACTTAGTGTTTTCAGATATAGCAGCCTGCAAGCTCCTGCCATTGCAGTATCCATTCTGAATGATCATATGGTTATCTTCTGCCTGTAAGGGGTAGTAATGTACCAGGTGGGGTGATGTCCAAACACTGTATGAGCATAAACTTCACGCAAAGCCAAATTCTCAGGTGAAATCCTGAAAAAGTTTTCATATAGTGCTTTATTGCATAAACACTTCTATCCAGGCTTTTAATGCACTTGTAGACTGTACCAAATTCACCAACCCCAATTTTTTCTACCTCCGAGCATTCTTTTTTATAGTAGGAAGCCATGTTGGTTTCTCATAGAACACATGTCTCAGCAGGCAGCCCTTGTTCTTCCTTGCCTTCCTCTGGACCAGCTTCCTCAAGATCATCTCGAATTTTCCTCTTGACACTGGATTGAAGGAATAATTTTCTATAGGACTTTGGGGTGAAGGGATTAGTATTGACCAGAGCCAGTGAGGTCATCTCATCCTTGGGAGGAGTGGATGTGAGCATCAAATGCTTAGAGCCTCTGGAAGGAGGCTTTGCTGTTGGAGAAATAACGTCTGGCTCAGCGGGCTTTTGGGAGTAGAGGGGCTGGCACCATGTGGCTGCTTGTTCCTGTTGCCTGGTTGGCCTGGTGTCTCAGGATATTTGAGAAGGTGTGACACTGGAGTCCTCAAAATCTGATCTGGATCTTCTTTTTCTTTTTCCCGAGGTGTGTTGAGTTCATGCACGTTACTGAGAGGAGTCCTGGGCAATGTAAGCATTGCCTCTGAATTCTGCACTTCACTCTTCTCTGGGATCTGGCTCTGGGCCTCCCTGCTTCCCTGTGCTTTCTTTTGCCCTACATTCTGAGTCTCTTCTTCCAAACAGGAAAAGCTTAATTTCTCAGTTTTAATGTTTTAATTTAATTTATGTTTAATGCCTCAGTTTTTTGTTAATATTTCTGTCATCCATCTCAGCCAAAGAGCTTTACAACATAGGCAAGATCTATTGCAAGAGAACACCGTGATTCTGCAGAAAGAGGAGAAAATTATTTAACCTGGCAGGTTTCACAACTCTAGCCTGCCTTTCCCTCTACCAGCTAACATCTAGCTGTTTCAGATGGTTAAATTCCTCACGTGTGGCCTCATCATTTGGTAACTGGCAGATGGGACTCTGTCGTCTACAGATCTGTTTACGAACAGCCCTTTCCTAAGTGCATATGGTGTGCGTACCAAGTCCCCGGCTCAGAGTCACGATTTTATACACAGGTTCCAGCCGTGGAATCCACATGCCTCAGACTGGGGGGCACTTCCCCCTCA